>NC_000004.12:85285017-85436532 GCF_000001405.40 Homo sapiens
TTTTGTTGAGAAAAAATGTGATCTCTTCATTTTGTTTGCTAGAAAAAAATTAGTGGTTGCCTGGCAACCAGTTGCCCATCAGCTTCCTAAAGCAGGAGAAGTTGCTAGGTAAATCATTTTACTCTTTTTTTTTCCAGAAAAGGCTGGACTTAACAGATTCTAGGGTCTGAAAAATTATCCTGGAAGCATCAGAAAGACAAAGAAAATAAGGAATTGACTTGATGTAACATTAAGCCAGTTTGCTGTAGTTCTGCTATTAAAATATGGAAATACTTCCATGTATTTCTATACATAGCTATTGGTAAATAGCCACTTCTTTGATCCAGATGGGTGTTTTCTGTCCCCAGCTATCTTATTTTCTCCCCTGCCTCACCCATACCCTCTACATACAAAGGGCTAAAATCTGGAATTGTAGGGCTCTCCTCTAACACTCTGCTTCAGCAATTCTGATTGTTAAACATTTTCAGTCTGACCCCTGGAAATGACTATGCCTTATAGTACAATGTAGTTTTTATCAAAGTAATTGGGAGAATGGATAAAACAAAGTAAAAATAATAAAAAGGGCATGAGAGTATGAATAAAAGGGCTTGTTGTGTTATAACTTTATGACTCACTAGCTCAGTGACATTGATCTTGTCTATCATGTCCACATCTGGATCATGAAGGAATTGAATTGTATAATCTCTAGAACCATGGTCAGTGCTAAGTTTTAAAATAATTTTAGGTAACGATTTCCATCTTTCAAGTTGAATTACATCTTAACTTAGAAAACATATACAATTTAGATAACATATAACTTAAAATGCAATGCCCATAGGTGATAGAAAAGACAACAAAATAAGCAGAAGGACCCTACTAGCAAAGGCTAACTATAAACCTTTGAGAGAAAATGGCAAAACTGGGCAGTAAGATAGAAAAAAGAGTGTTACTTGTTGTAGATTGTTTAAATACTTTAGGCATGCAACTCTCAGGTGATTTTATAATTGGATTTATTAAGAACTAATCATAAAATTATAAACTTAATCAATAAGAGTTTAATCTGGGGCTAGCATAGTAAATGGCTCTCTTCCAGAAGAGTAACATATTGTATTCAATGGCTTTCACATCCTGATGAGATTTAGAAACAAAAGAGTATATATTACTCACTATAAATGTTTCCGTTAGAGAATCTCTCTTAATTTGCATAAAGTAATAATGATTAAATAAAGTTATATTTAGAAAGACATGAGGCTGGACATTAGCAAAATGATAAACTTGGAAGCTCCATGTTTCCCCCATGAAAGCATCAAGAAATACCCAGAAATTGGTTGATTTAATCTTAAAGGAGCTTGAGAAAATAGTCAAAAGTCCATAGCAACCAAATATATGTCCAGTTAAGAAAAAGCCACCTTCAAAGTAGAATGAGATTTTGTGGAATTTTTATGTTCCCTTGCTCCACCTTCTCCTCAGTCCAGTGTGGTCTTGGTCTGAAGGAGGTGGCAGCCCAGCTCCCAGTTTTCTGCCTGTAACTGGAGAGAGCAGAGAAAATCTTATCTGCAAACTTCTCATCTGCCTGGGGACTACCTGAAAGACTGGTAACTGTCTTCTTAACTCAGATCTCAATGAGGAAAAGCAGCAGCAATACTTGTTAAACTGCAGAAATACTACAGACTTACCAATGCCTGGGGTAAAAGATTATAGGTGGAGACATACATTAGATCATTCAGAACCCTGAGAAGAATCTAGGGTGATGCTCTTTGGGAAATTAAGACATTCAAAATCAGTCATAGTGTGGGAAGCTAAGAAACTATATGTGGCCCAAGATAAGAATGCATGGTCAGAAAATACCTGAGAAGAATTTAGTTTTTCACCTGGGACTGATACCTAAGTTCAGAGCAAGACTAGCTAATAAATGAAGGACTTCCCTGGCATAGAGCCAGTCTGCCAAATCAGATAGAGGTGGCTGTTTTTTCAAATGCCCTATTAAAAAAATCATAAGTCACAAAGAAAAACAGAGAAACATAGCCCACTCCAAGGAGCAAAATAGGCAGAAACTGTCCCTAAGGAAGATATTGGACTTACTAGACAAAGACTTTAAAACATGTATCTTAAATATGCTCAAAGACATAAAGGAAAACATGGACAAAAAATTAAATTTAGCCAGGAAAATGATATATCAACAAAATGAGAATATCAACAAAGGATAGAAATTATACAAAGAAAATTCTGAAGCTGAAAAATAGAGCTCTATTAAAAAATTCACTAGAGGAATTCAACAGCAGATTTGAGCAGGGAAGAAAGAATCAGTGAATTTGAAAACAGCAATTGAAATTGTCAAGTCTGAAAAACAAAATTTTTAAAAATGGAAAACAGTGAACCGAGCTTGGACACCATCAAAGCTGACCAATGTATCTATTGTAGGAGTCACAGAATTAGAAGAGACAAAGGAAAGAGGTATTATTTGAAAAGACAATGGATGAAAACTTCCAAAATATTATAAAAATATGGATGTACAAATTTAAGAAGCTCAAAGCACTCCAACTAAGATAAATCCCAAGGGACCCAAACTGAAACACCTTATAATCAAACTGTCAAAAGCCAAATATTTCAATTCTGTTTATGTGATTAATCACATTTATTGATTTGCATACTTACATCCCAGAAATAAAGCCTACTTGGTTGTGATGAATTCACTCTTTGATGTGCTGCTGGATTTCATTTGCTAATATTTTGTTGGGAATTTTTGCATGTATGTTCATCAGGTATATGGGCCTGTAGTTTTCCGTTTTCATTGTGTCTTTGCCAGATTTTAGTATCAGAGTGATGCTGGCTTCATGGAATGAGATAGGGAGGAGTCCTTCCTCCTTGATTTTTTGAAATAGTTTCAGTAGGAGTGGTACCAGCTCTTTTTTGTATGTCTGGTAGAATTTGGCTGTGAATCCATCTGGTCCAGGGCTTTTATTTGTTGCCTGGTTATTTTTATTACTGACTGAATTTCAGAACTCATTATTGGTCTGCTCAGGGTCTCATTTTCTTCCTGATTCAATCTTGGAAGGTATAAAGCCATTTGGTCATCTCAATAGATGCAGAAAAACCTTTTTATAAAATCCAATATCCTTTCATGGTAAAAATCCTCAACAAACTAGGCACTGAAGGAACATATCTCAAAATAATAACAGTCATTATAACAAACCCATAGCCAGCATTATACTGAATAGGCAAAAGCTGGAAGCATTCACTTTGAGAATTAGAACAAGACAAAGGTGCCCACTTTCACCACTACTTTTCAAAACAGTACTGGAAGCCCTAACCAAAGCAATCAGGCATTCGAATAGGAAAAGATATAAAAGACATTCAAATAGGAAAAGAAGTTAAACTGTCTTCACTGATGATATGATTCTATACTTAGAAAACCCTAAAGCCTCCATAAAAAAGGTTCCTAGAATTGATAAATGACTTGAGTAAAGTTTTAGGACACAAAAGTAATGTATAAAAATAGTAGCATTTCTATACACCAATAGCATTCAATCCAAGAGCCAGATAAAGAGTGCAGTCCCATTTACAATAGCAACAAAAATAAAATACCTAGAAATACATTTAACCAAGGAAGTGCAAGATCTCTACAAAGAGAACTACAAAACACTGCTGTCAGAAATTATAGATGACACAAACAAATGGAATTCCATGCTTATGAATGGAGGAATCGATATTGATAAAATGGCCATACTGCCTAAAGCCATCTACAGATTCAATGCTGTTTCTATTAAATCACCAAAGTCATTTTTCATGGAATTAGAAAATCTATTCTAAAATTCATATGGAACCAAATCAGAGCCTGAATAGCAAAAGCAATCCTAAACATAAAGAACAAAGCTGGAAGCATTATATTGCCCAACTTTAAACTATACTACAAGGCCACAGTAACCAAAGCAGCATGGTACTGGTACAAAAACGACACATAGAACAATGGAACAGAAAGGAGAACCCAGAAATTAAACTCCACACCTACAACCAACTGATCTTTGACAAACTTAACTAAAAAAGCAATGGGGAAAGACTCTCTATTTAATAAATGGTGCTGGGATAACTAGCTAGCCATATGCAGAAGGATAAAACTGGACCTTTCACCATGTGCAAAAGTTAACTCAGAATGGATTTAAGGTTTAAATGTAAGACTTCAAACTATAAGAATTCTAGAAGAAAACCTAGGAAACACCATTCTGGACATCAGCCTTGAAACAAATTTATTATGAGTTCTTCCAAAGCAATTGCAACAAAAACAAAAATTGACTAGTGAGACCAAATTAAGCTGAGGAGCTTCTGCACAGCAAAAGAAACTGTCAACAGAGTAAACAGACAGCCTACATAATTGGAGAAAATATTCACAAGCTATGCATTTGACACAAGTGTACTATCCAGAATCTATAAGAAACTTAAATAATTCAACAGCAAAAAAAAAAAAAAACTCCATTAAATATGGGCAAATGACATGGATACTTCTCAAAGAAAGTCATACAAGTAGCCAAAAAATATGAGAAAATGTTCACTATCACTAATAAAAAAATGCAAATCAGAACCAACAATGAGACACTATCTCACACCAGTCAGAATGGCTATTATTAAAATGTTAATAAAAAGATATTGGTGAGGCTGCAAAGAAAAAGGAATATTTATACACTGCTGGTGGGAATGTAAATTAGTTCAGCCACTGCGGAAAGCAGTTTGGAGATTTCTGAAATAACTAAAAATAGAATTACCATTTTGCCTAGCAATCCCATTACTGGTTATATACCCAAAGGAAAAGAAATCATTCTACCAAAGAGAAACATACACTCATATGTTCAGTCCAGCACTATTCATAATAGCAAAGACACAGAATCAACCAAGGGTGGATTGGATAAAGAAAATGTAGTACATATACACCATGTAATACTGTGAGCCATAAAAAAGAATAAAATAATGTCCTTTGCAGCAAAATGGGTTCAGCCAGAGACCACTATCCTAAGTGAATTAATGCAGAAATAGAAAACTTAATATTCTATATTCTTACTTATAATGGGGAGCTAAGCAATGGTTACACATGGACATAAAGATGGGGAAAATAGATACTAGGGACCACTAGGAAGGCAGGAAGGAAGGGGAAAAGTGTTGAAAAACTACCTATTGTGTACTATCCTCACTACCTGGGTGATGAGATTAGTCATACCCCAAAGCTCCACATCACACAATATTCCCATGTAAGAAATATGTGCATATACCGCTTGAATTTAAAATAATAGTGGCAATTTTTAAAAAGTCAAAGCTTAAGAGAAAATTTTGAAAGTAGCAAGAGAGAAGTGACATCAATTTTAAGGAGTCCTCCACAAATTACAGTTGGAGCATCCCAAATTCTTAGTTCAAAGTCTGAAATGCTCCCAAATCAGAAACTTTTTGATTGCCATTTTGCTCAAAGGAAATGCTAATTGGAGCAATTTGGATTTGGGATTTTTAAATTTTGGATACTCAACCAGGAAGTGTAATGCGAATATTCCAAAATAAATAATCAAAAATCTGAAACACTTATCATCCTAAACATTTTGGATAAGGGATATTCAACCTGCATCCATGAATTTCTCAGCAGAAACATTGCAAACCAATAGGGTGCATGGTATATTTTAAATGCTAAAAGAATAACTACCTATCAACTGAGAATTCTGTATCTGGCAAAAATGACCTTCAGAAATGAAGAAATTAAGACATTCCAAGACCAAAGCTGAGGAAAATCATTGCCACTAGACATGCAAGAAACACTAAAGAGTCCTTCAGATTGGTGGAATTTGTTTTATTTTCTTTTATATGTACATAAAATAAACTATTATACATATTTATTTAACTGATTTATTTATTTAACTGATTTAATACCCTTTCTTATTATTGGTCTGTTCAGATTTTCTATTTCTTCATGATTCAGTCTTGATAGGTTGTATGTATCTAGGAATTCACCAATTTCTTCTAGGTTAACCAATTGTTTGGCATATAATTTTCCATAATAGCCTTTTATGATCCTTTGTATTTTTGTGATATCAATTACAATGTCTCCTATTTCATTTCCAGTTTTATTTATTTGAGTCTATTCTGTTTTTTCCAGTTAATTTAGCTACAGGTTTATCTATTTTGTTTATCTTTTTAAAAAACCAACTTAGTTTCATTGAGAGAGTCTTTCTTATTGAAATTAAAGGATGTTAGTAACTTGAAACCATACAAAGATATAAAGATCTCTAGTTAGGATGAATATACAGGCAAATATAAAAGCTAGTTTTATTGTAATTTTGATTTATAATTCTACCTTTTGTTTTCTACAGAATTTAAAAGACAAATACATAAACATAATTTTAAATCTGTTACTGTGCATCCAATATGTAAAGAGGTAATTTATGACGTCAGTAATCTGGAGTGATGGCAACAGAGCTGTATAGGGGTAGAGTTTTGTATGCCATTGAAGTTAAATTAGTATCAATTCAAATCATATTATTTTAACTTTAGGGTGTTGTAGGTAATGCGCTTGGTAATCACAAAGAGAATATATACAATATATACATAAAAGGCAATGAGTGGAGAATAAAACCTTGTCATGATTCCATGTATATGAGAAATCTAGAATAGTCAAATTCATAAAGACAGAAGGTAGAACAGCGGTGATCAGGGGCTGGAAGGAAGACACAACAGAATATTATTGTTTAATAGGTGCAGAGTTTCAATTTGGGATGGCAAAGTTCTGGAGATGGATCGTGGTGAACGTAGCACAGCAATGTGAATGTACGTTAGCGCCACTGGCTTGTGCACTCAAAATGGTTAAGATGGTAAATGTTATGTTATTTATATTTTACTACAACTTAAATAACAAAACCAGGCAAAAGACATGAAATTATGAAGAATATAAATTAAGAGCCATTATTTCTAGGACATATATTGTAAATGCCACTGAGTTGAATATTTTGGATATATATGATTCATTTACTCAATTCAGTAACTTCATCAAAGTAAACAGATAAGCAAGTCAATGCTCAAAAAGTAAAATATTTTGCCCAAAAAAGAATACAAGGCAGTAAAAAAGATAGAATTTAAATTTTCATTGGTCTGAGTAAAAACTTGTTTCCTCTGTAATTTCATAGAAAAGAGAAAAAAATTAAAGAGGGTATTCAGGAAATTTATAATAAAATATGAAGTTAATATTTATTGGAATATATATAGAAACAGAGTAACATCCTGTCATTAGAAATTCTAAGTGTTTTTATATGGAATAATTATTATGAAATATTCTAGTTTATATTCAAAAGTAAGAAAAATAATTTATTAATAAAATTGACTTTAGTGAAGGCAACTCTAATTCACTATTTGATTTTAGGGAATTAATCTCCTTTTTACTCTGGTGGAAGATCTTAGATATTCACCCAAATACATGTTCTCTTCTTCCTGAGTTCACAGCTAGAGTATACTTTCCAGCCTCTTTGTGATTATGAGTTATCACGTAACTGAGTTCTAGCCACTGGATTGTGAAAATATGTATTCATCTGGCCTTTAAAATCCTTCCGCCAATACCCTCTATCTCTTTTCCATTCTGTTGTCAAAAATAAAGATGACATCCAATGTGACCTTGGAAGCTGTCAAGATGGCAGAGCTGTGTCACAGTAAGTTCTTAAAACACTGAAGAATAAGGATGTCCTATTTACTTGTTCAATCACCTGATATTGTTCATGATCAAGAAATACACTTCTATTGTGTTTGAGTCAGTATAAACGTGTGTCTTTTCTGAATAGGAGTTAGCCTACTCTAACTTATAAACTTATAATACCAGTAATAATTACTAGCTTGCTACGCATTATTAGGTTATATTCTATCTTCTACTTATAATCAGTTAGAATAAGAAGGGTTGGGACATCAGCAAGAAGGCAGAATAGGCACTTCCAGCACTCATCCCTCTATGGAAACATCAGTTTGAATAACTATCTATGCCTGAAAATACCTTCACAAAAGCTAAGAAATTTAAGTCAGAGATTAAAGTACCTGAGTGGAGCACAGAAATAAGAAAAGACACTTTACAGAGCATGGGAGGAACAATTTCACCTTAGCCACATTACCCCTTCCCCACACCTGTACAGCACAGCATGGAGACAGAACCCCTTCGCATGGGACAAGGAGAGTGAAATGAGTACCCAGCTTTGCCATTGACCCAAGCACCAGGTCAGTCTTAATGATCCCTGATACCAGATCAGCCTCCATGGCCCCAGGCTCCTTTCCTAGCACAGCAAAGGAAGCAATGAACAAAATGAAAAGACAACCTAAAGATTAAGAGAAAATATTTGCCAACCATATATCTATAATATAAATATTCAAATATATAAGGAACTCATAGCTCAACAACACACTAGCACCAAGCTACACACTAGCACCTGTGTACTCAGGTTCTGAGCTTGCCTCAGACCCAGGCTAGACTTACCTCAGTGCCAGGCTGGCTCCCATGGACTTAAGCTATAGGTAACAACAAAGTTGAAAAACACTGTAGACCAGATGGATCTAAAAGACATACACAGAACATTCCATCCAACATCAGAATACACATTCTTCTCAAGCAACATGGAACATTCTTCAGGATCGATCACATGTTAGATCACAAAACAAGTCTTAATAATTTAAAGAAGATCAACATAAAGTATCTGTTTCAGCCACAATGGGGTGAAACTAAAAATCAATAACAGCAAGCAACCACAACCAAACAAACTGAAAAACAAACAACAATCAAAAACACCTCACAGACACACTGAAAATAAGCACCACAATCTTAAAAAGCACTGAGTTAAAAAAGGAAATCAAAATGGAATTTGAAAAATATCTAGAGATAAATGAAAATGAAAACACAGCATACCAAAAGTTAGGAGATGCAGCAAAAGCAGCACAAAGCAGGACATTTATAATGATAAATCTCTACATTACAAAAGAAGAAAGATCTCAAACAACTTAATGTTAGACCTCAAGGAACTAGAAAAAGAACAAAAGCCCAGCTAGCGGAAGGAAGGAAATAATAAATGTCAGGGCAGGAATAAATGAAAAAGACACAAACAAAACAAGAGAAAAAATCAACAAAATTATGAATGAATGAAAAAGACACTAACAAAACAATAGAAAAAATCAACAAAATTATAAGTCAGTGTTTTGAAAAGGTAAACAAAATGAATAAACCCATAGCTATACTAAGTAAAAAAAAGAGAAAATTCTCAAGTAAATAAAATCAGAAATAAAAGAGGAGACCTTACAACAGATGCCTCAGAAATAAAAAAGCATCATAAGGGACTATTAATTTCTTTAATAGTGTTGGGAAAACTGGATATTTGCATGTAAAAATTTAAAATTGTATCTTTATACACAAAAACAAACTTAAATGGATTAAAGACTTGAATATAAGACATGAAACTATAAAACTTCTAGAAGAAAAAATAGAGAATGTCTCCTTGATATTGGTCTTGGCAATAATTTTTTGAACATCGCACCAAAAGGCCAGGCAACGAAAGTAAAAACAAACAAGTGAGACTACATCAAACTAAAAAGCTTTAGCACAGCAAAGGAAACAATGAACAAAATGAAAAGACAACCTACAGATAGAGAAAATATTTGCCAACCATATATCTATAATATAAATATTCAAATATATAAGGAACTCATAGCTCAATAACACAAAAAACTAATTAAAAATATAAAGACACATGCACATGTATGCTTATTGCAGCACTGTTTACAATAGCAAAGACTTGGAACCAGCCCGAATGCCCATCAATGATAGACTGGATAAAGAAAATGTGGCACATATACACCATGGAATAGTATGCATCCATAAAAAAGGATGAGTTCATGTCCTTTGCAGGGACATGGATAAATCTGGAAACCATCCTTCTCAGCAAACTAACACAGGAACAGAAAACCAAACACCACATGTTCTCACTCATAAGTGGGAGTCGAACAATGAGAACACATGGACACAGGGAGGGGAACATCACACACAGGGGCCTGTCAGGGGGTGGGGGGCTAGGGGAGGGATAGCAGTAGGAGAAATACCTAATGTAGATGATGGGTTGATGGGTGCAGCAAACCACCATGGCACATGTATACCTATGTAACAAACCTGCACGTTCTGCACAAGTATCCCAGAACTTAAAGTATAATTTAAAAACTAGGCAAAATACCTGAATAGACATTTTTTTCCCAAGGAAGACACATAAATGATCAACAGGTAATATAAAAAGTTTCTCAACAAGCATTAGGGAGATGCAAATCAAAACCACAATAAGATATCATATTATACCGTTAGGATGGCTGTTATCAAAAAGAGTAAGAAGTGTTGATGAGAATGTGAGAAAAGGGAACCTTTGCGCACTGTTGGTGGGAATGTAAACTGGTACAACCAGAAAATGTCATGGATATTTCTTTAAAAATTAAAAATAGAACTACCATATGACCCAGCAAATCTTCTGCTGGGTATAGAGCCAAAGGGAATGATATCAGCACCTTGTAGAGATAGCTACACTCCCACATTCATTGCAGTATTATTTACAGTAACGAAGATGTGGAAACAACCTAAGAATCCATGATGGATTAATGAGTAAAGAATTGTGCTCTCTCTCTCTCTCTCTCTCTCTCTGTGCTACAGATATGCACACACACAGAGAAATATTATTTAGGCTTAAAAAAGGAGGTATTGTTATTTATAACAACATAGATCAACCTGAAAGATGTTATGCTAAGTGAAATAAGGCAGAAACAGAGAGAAAAATGCCGTATTATCTCACTTATATGTGGACTATATATTTCAAACATGTAGAAACAGAGAGTAGATCAGTGGTTACCAGAAATGGGTAGGGGAGGAAATGGGAAGTGGGTAAAAGAGTACTGTAGTTATGTAGGAAGTGTTAAGTCCAGAGATCTAACATACAGTATGAGGACTATAATTTAATAATACGATATTATACAGTTGACCCTTGGACAACCCAGGTTTCAACTGTGTAGGTCCACTTATACATGGATTTTTTTCAAGCAAACACAGATTGAAAATTCAATTATTTGTGGGTTGTGAAACCTGCATACACCAAACGACAACTGTTTAACAAAAATTATGCTAAGAGAGTAGATTTTATGTGCTTACACCACACAAAATGAATGGGTAACTATGGAAGGTAATTGATGGTTTAGTTTGCTTAACTATAGTAATCATTTCACTATGTAATATGTGTACCAAAATAGCATGTTGTACACCATATGTATATATTTTAATGTTAGAAAAAAAACTAACCACAATGAGTTATCACCTCATACCTGTTAGGCTGGCTACTATCAGAGACAAAAGTTAAGTGTTGGCAAGGATGTAGAGGAAAGGGAACCTTTGTATACTGTTGATGGGAATGTAAATTGGCACAGCTATTACAGAAAACAGTATAGAAAATCTAAAAATTAGAAATAGAACTACCATATGATCTAGCAATTCCACTTTTGAGTATTCAGTAACATGTCACATAACAATGGGAATATGTCTGAGAAATGTGTCATTAGGTGATTTTGTCATCATGTGAACAAATAAAGTGAACTTACACAAATCTAGATAGTATAGCTTACTACACATCTAGGCTATATGATATAGCCTATTGCTTCTAGGCTACAAACCCGCAAAGCATGTACTTAATACTATAGGCAATAGTAACACACTGGTTAGCATTTGTGTATCTAAGCACACCTAAACATAGATACAATAAATACATGGTATAAAAGATTTTTAAAAATGGGGGCTGGGGACAGTGGCTCATACTTGTAGTACCAGTGTTTTGGGAGTCCAAGCTGGGAGAATCCTGAGGCAAGGAGTTCGAGACAAGCCTAGGCAATGGCAAGGCCCCAGCTCTACAAAACAAAACAAAACACAAAAAAACAAACAAAAAACCAAAACATAGCCAGGTGTGGTGGCACAGACCTGCAAGTCCCAGCTACTTGGGAGGCTGAGGTGGGTGGGTCACTTGAGCCCTGGAGTTCGAGGCTACAGTGAGCTATACTCGTGCCACTGGCATTGCACTCCAGCCTGGGTGACAAAGACTCTGTCTCTAAAATAAATGAGAATACCTGAACTACAACTGTATGCCTTAATATGGGTGGCTCTCACAAACATAATGTTAAGTAAGAGAAACCAGACACAAAACAATATATACAGGTAGCATATGATTCCATATATATGATACACAAAAAGACACAAATTCATGTTGTTAGAAGTCAGGAAAAGTGGCTTAGAGGTTAGGATAGTGACTAGGAGACTTCTGGGTGCTGGTAACACACTGTTGATCCTGGTTACACATATGTTCATTTTGTGAAAATTCACAGAGCTGACACTTAGGCACATTTTTCTGTGTGTAGGCCGAACTTCAATAAAATTTCTAAAAGTTTTAAAAAAATAAAAAATGTACACTTGTATAGGGCACTTACCATGAATGGAGTTTTCAGGACTGGAAGTTGCTGAGGGTGAGTCAGTGAGTGATGAGTGAATGTGAAGGCCTAGGACATTACTATATACTACTACAGACTATATAAAGACTGTACACTTAAGTTACACTAAATTTATAACAAAGTATTCTCCTTCAATAATAAATTAACCTTAGCTTACTGTAACATTTTCCCTTTATAGACTTTTAAATTCATTTAAAACTTCTTGACTTTCATAATAACACTTAGCTTAAAACACAAACACATTGTACTGTTGTATAAAAATATTCTTTATATCCTTATTCTATAAACGTTTTTAATTTTTTGTTAACTTTTTTTCTTTTTAAACTTTTGTTAAAAACTAGGAGACAAATGCACACACTAGCCTAGGTCTACACGGGGTCAGGATCATCAATATCACTGACTTGCACCTCCACATCTTGTCCCAGTGGAAGTTCTTCAGGGACAATAACTCACATGAGCTTCATTTCCTATAAAGCAATGCCTTCTTTTGCAATATGTCCTGAAGGGCCTGCCTGAGGCTGCTGTACAGTTAACTTTAAAAAAAAAATAAGTAGGGGTATACTATAAAATAGCAATAAAAAGTATAGTAAAGAAATAAACCAGTAGTATAGTCATTTTTTTATTACCAAGTATTATGTACCATACATAATTGTATGTGCCATATTATATATGACTGTCAGTGCGGTATGCTTGTTTACACCAGTATCACCATAAACATGTGAGTAATACATTGCACTGTAACATTACAATGGCTATGACATTAGGTGACAGGAATTTTTTACTCCATTATATTATAGGACCACTGTCATATATGTTGTGCATCATCGATTGAAACATCCTGTTGTGGTGCATGACTATATAACCAAAGGAAATGAAATCAGTATTTCCAATAGATATTTGCTCCCAAATGTTCATGCAGCATTATTCATAACAGCCAAGATATAGAAACAACCCAAGAGTTGATCAATAGATGAGTAGGTACACACAGTGGAATACTGTTCAGCCTTAAGGATTAATGACATGATTAAACACAGAGGACATTATGCTAATTGAAATATTCCAGACAGAGGAAAACAAATACTGCATGATCTTGTTTATATACAGGATCTAAAAACTTTGAATTCACACAAGCAGAGTAGCATGGTGTTTGCCAGGGACTAGGGTACAGAAAAATTGGGAAATATGTCAATTTTACAATGAACACGTATGTCAAAACATCACACTGTACACCTTAAATATTGCTATGGTCTGAATGTTTGTGTCCCTTCCAAAATTCATGTGTTGAAACCCAATCACCAATGTGATGTTATTCAGAGGTGGGTCTTTGGAATCTGATTAAGAGTTAGTTTCCTTATAAAAGATGTTTCAAAGGGCTGGTTTGCCCTTCCACTACATGAGGACACATCTAGAAGGTGCTATGCATGAACCAGAAAGTGGCTCCTCACCAGACACAGTCCTCTGGTGTCTTGATCTTGGGTTTCTTAGCCTCCAGAGCTGTGAAAATAGATTTCTGTAGTTTGTAGGCCACTCAGTCTATGGTACGTTGTTATAGCAGCCCAAACAAACTCAGACAAATATATAAAGTTTTTGTCAGTTATACCTTAATAAAGCTGGTGAATAAAAGAGTATTTCATTAAAATCTAAACATTGAAAATTAAATCTTTGATAAAAAAGAATAACAAGGTTTGGATATGATTATCAGTGGAGGCAATAACGTTATGTTTTTTTGTGTGAAGGTGATATAAAGGAAGATGAAAATGATAAACAAAAGACCATTATATAAAGTCCATGAGATTGAATTTTTATTTATCTCAAATGTAACCACTAGTAGGTCAACTGTGTTTGATTCAACTATTTATCTAGTTCTTAACACTGTTCTTTGGATTCAGTGGTCTTTAATAAATGTTTAAATGACTGAATGACAGAATAAATAATGAACCAGTTAACTCTTCATGGGACCTTGAACCAAGGGTTTAATCTAGTGTTACCATAGGTTCTTTATTTTAAAAGTTACCAAAACACCTCAAAATGGTGGTGATTATAGTGAGAAAATATTATTCAAGTCCTTTTTGGAAAGCATTTTGTTTATAGCTAAAAACCTTCTAAGGAAAAACACATTTAGAAATAGTAAATTGTATGTAATTATATGCATACTTTTAAATTATAATGCTGTGTCCATCTGTAATCCTAATTCTGTATAAATATTTGATCTTTTCTTACACTATCTTTTTTTATAAGCTTGAATATTTCTTGTTGAAGAGATTAATGTTGTGTTTTTCTTTACGATGACATTTCATATCTTTGTCTCTCTAATAATTTGTTGTTGAGTAGTTTAGCATTATGTGTATCAATATACTTTGCATAAAAATTACAAATCAAGGTTGGTAAACAGTGAAACATCTAGTTTTACACAATGTTTATGGATAATAAAGGGAAATTTATTTACCTGTGTATGTTAAGTTCAGAAAGCATCTGTCAAAATGTCATACTAGTTGTATTTCTGAATAGATATTCGGTTTTTTATTTCTACTGAATTCTCTCATTGAAAGTTTTCACTGGATGCTAACAGATGCCTAATTTGCTGATCTATCACAAAGCAAAGAACGCTAGGATTATGAGGTGATGAATTTGCCTCTATTGTTTCATTGCCTTTCACTAAAAATAAATATTAGAAGTAAAAACCTATTACTTTGTGAGATTTTAAGAGTTATACCCTTTTAAAGAAATTATTATTTAAGGCAATAATTTTATAAAAATGATAAATATCTTAATTACTTTTGATATTGGTTCTCCTTTTTATTTTTAATGCCAAATTTATATATATATATATATATATGGTACAATGTGATGTTTCAACACATGTAATCATTTGGAATAATTAAATCAAGTGAATTAGTATAACCATCACCCCAAATATTTATCATTTTTTATGGAAAGAATATTTAAAATCTTCTCTTTTTGCTATTTTGAAGTATAGCAAAATATTTATTTTATTAACTATAGTCATCATGTTGTGCAGCTGAACAACAGAACTTATTCCTCCTATCTAACTGAAACTTGGCTGTTGACCAACATCTCTCCTTTCTCTCTCCACCTTTCCACGCTCAGCCTCTGATAACCACCATCCTACTTTCTACTTCTGAGTTTGATGTTTTTAGATGCCACATATAAGTGAGATCACATGGTATTTTTCTCTTTGTGCCTCGTTTATTTCATTTAACGTAATGTCCTCTAGGTTCATCCATGAAGTCACAAATGACAGAATTTCTTGTTTGATAGAGGATGAATAGTATTGCATTGTAAATGTACACATTTTTAAAGTCCATTCATCCACTGATGAACACTTGGATTGTTTCTATATCTTGGCTATTGTGAATAATATTGCAATGAACATGGGAGTGCAGACATCTCTTTAACATACTGATTTTAATTCTTTGGGTATATACCCAGTAGTGAGATTGCTGGATCATATGGTAGCTCTATTTTTACTTTTTTGAGGCAACTCCATAGTTTTTTCCAAAATCACTGTACTAATTCACAATACTACCAACAGTGCTTAAGTGTTCCCTTTTCTCCACATCCTTGCCAACACTTCTTATCTTTCTTCTTTTTGATAATAGCCAGTTTAACAGGTGTAAGATAGTATCTCACTGTGGTCCATCTTTTTACTTTTGATACATTTGTGTCTTTATATTTACAGTGGTTTTGTATTTTTCATCACCATAGTTTTCATCTCTTGAAGTTTGACTTCAGTGGATTTTTATATCTTCCATATCTCCAATTAATACCCTCAGTTCTTTCTCTAGTTTCTTGAACATATGGAATGCAGTTATAACAACTGTTTCATTGTTCTCGTCTACTGATCCTATCATGTTTGTAATTTTTAGGTCAACTTCAACTGACTTTTTTGAGTATTGTGGATGAAATTTACTTCTTTACATGCTCGTTAATTTTTTACTGGATACTATACATTGCAAATTTTGGGTGCTGGATATATTTGTATTTATGAAAGTATCATTGAGTTTTATTGTGGGACACAGTTTAGTTACTTGGAAACAGTTTGGTTCTTTTGAGTCTTACCCTTAAGCTTTGTTAAGTAGACTTAGAGCCATACTTATTCTAGGATTAATGTTTCCCGGCCTTGGTAGATTCCTCATGTCCATGCTCCAATCAGTACTCAGCTGATGATATGAGGGGCACCCTCCTCAGACCTTGGTTTCCCCTGTCTTTTGGCAGCTCTCTCCTTTCTTCCCCTCTCTGTGACCACTAGCTGATTTTGTCAGCCTGGATTCCTAGCAATATCTTACCTGTAAGTCTTCCCAGTGTAAGTTCTCCCTCACTGAATCATAGCCTATGAAACTCTCTTTAGGCACTAACCTGGGGCAGTTGTAGGGCTCACATTCTTCCCTGTCTCTTAGGAATCACTGTTTTTCACATATGTATCGAGAACTACCATATCCTATACTTTGTCTATTGAAAGATTTTTCAGAAAGGATGGTAAATCCATTCTCTGTTAATCTTTTTTTTTTCCTGGAAAAGGAAGTTTCTTCTGATATTAGTGAAAATACTAGAATCATGTAATTTTGAGTAAAGCATCTTGAAGAGGCCAAATATTTTTAAAGAGCTTAAATTTGGAGAGAGAAAACCCAAGTATTGGAGCCATACTGTTTTCAATAATGGCTGGACTAATTTACATTCCCACCAACAGGGTTCTCTTTTTTGCACAGCTTTGCCAGCATGCTATTTTTTGTCTTTTTGATAATAGCCATTCTAACTGGGGTAAGATTCTATCTCTTGTGGTTTTGACTGCTGGGGTGACCAGTGGGAACGGGATCCCCAAATGGGGGGCAGGAGTTGGGGGGCACAGTTTGGGCCCTGGTGGGGGCCTGATACCATGCAGTAAGAGTCTGTCTTCAGGACCCTATGATGCTGTGCAAGGGTGCAGGCTGTGGTGAGGGGGCTGAGGCAATTCCTAGGCTCCTGGGTGGGGATGGCTAAAGGAGAGAGCCTGTCCTCTGTGTTTGCCCTGCTGGTAAGGAGGGTGTAGGGTTGCTGTCAATGACAGCAGCCTGAGGCAGGTGGCTCTCAGACTCTGCAAAATGCATGCCTTGTCTCCCATTGTCCCAGAGACAGCTTGGAAGGTGTGCAGCACTGCCTATTCTCCGGCGTGTTGGACACTGTGTGGACTGGAGTGGGAATCCAACTGCACTGCTGGGTGCAACTGGTGTCACTGCAGCCCTCCATGTGTTTACAGGAGGACATCAGTGGGGGTTCCAGGGATGCGGAGATGAAGGGGCTGTGCACCCCAAGGCATTATGCAGTCTTGAAAGGTCCAGGCTTTCAAAATAGCATCATACTGCAGCTGCTTGGGTCTTGGGGGTGGGGAGTGGAACTCAGTGTGAACTCTCTCTCAAGAATAATGCCTTCTCGCGGATTCTAGGCAGCTGTCTATGCTAGTCTCAGGGTGCATAATGATTAAGGGGCTCTCCTGTGGCTGGGATTGCAGGAATTCGTGATGGGAATGTGGACTGATGGGGATCCCTCTTATGCTTTCTCCACATTGAGGGCCTCTCTGGGCTCCCAGACAATCCTAATCAGGCTGGGTGCCTCTCTTTCTTTTTCAGTTCCCTGAGTGTTTCCTGTCACTTCCCTGCTGAATACCAGTGTTCTCTCTTAGAGGCTTTATTCTAAGTGTGATTATTTACTCACTCTTTGGTTCTTGTTTGTGTAGGAGATGAGTGCCCAGTGCCTCTAGCCAGCCATCTTGAAGCCTCCTCCCAAAGGACTATTAATGATCATAGATTATTTGCTTCTCGCAGAACATTGCACCAAGTGCTGTAGGGCATTACAAAGAAGAGAGAACCATGGTCTTTTTTCAGCATTCTTTTCTACGGTCATGACTTGTGGACAGAATTTAGCTAAAAGGCTAATTTTTCACCATATGCCTACCTTTTTTATAAAAGAATTTATTTATACCATATTCTTTGACTCAGGCCAATGTAAACAAATAATTTTTATAGTGCTTTGGGCTATTAATATGAAAACATATTTGGCATTTAGAGGAATATTAGATTCTATGGTAAAGTTTGTCTCTATAAGGTGACAAATAATGAATACTTGTATATTGAAAATAAATATGCAAAGTTGACATGACAAACATGCTCAGAATATGTATTATAAAATGTGATGAGGCAACTGTGGGATCTTTTGGTCATCTTATTGTTGAAAAGCAAATTGGCATTTCATGGGTATGATTTGTAGGTAAAAAGGAATCTACCAATATTGGGATTTGGGAACATCCCATATAAACATATCTTTTTTTGTGACTAAAATTTGTTACTAAGTGCCAATGGTGATTTTTCAGAGATGTGGGAAAATGTCAAACTTTAATAATATGATTCTTCATCTAATAAACACAATGTCTATGTCTCTGGGATGTTAAAACACTTATATTGATTTAGTGTTTAATGAAGGCTGAAGGTCTGAGTCCAAAATGCATCTAGAATATAAAATATAATAAGCATATGAAGCCCAAGTTACTGAATATAAAAAACGCTTAGTCAAACTGGGTCTCTGTTTTAATATAGGAACTTCTCATATTTAAGGAAGGAACATTATTTTAAATTAGGAATGCCAATTGATGTATTTTTGGAATTCTTTTGGAGAATATTATTGTGCTTTTTACCACTTGTCCAATTCTCTTCTCTTGTGGTTTACATTTCAATAGCCTCTTCATTCTTAGTAGTAATCTGGCAGCTGCTAAGTTCCTGTTAATGAGTTCATTTGGATGCATATTCTTTTTTTAGTTAAGATACTCCAAGCTTTACTCTCTGTGAAGTAAATCTTCTAATTTTGCTAGCCTATATTGGTTGTTGGTGGTTGCTGATACCACTTCTTAAAATATGCCAACTGACAATTTTGGATTAATAAAAATTGATTTGCATGTGGTGACATTTTCAGTCAGTCAGACATTTTCTAGCAGCTCATATTTACAGTTTTAAGATGGAGAGGGAATAATCTGTTGGGCTCCAGATAAACTGTGCTTAATTTTAAGGCTTCTTTGTTAATATCAACAAGGCAGATTTTCAAATAGTTCATTAGCATCTCATCCAGAAGCCAGTTCTTTATTTAGTCAGCACCCTGCAAATGTCTGCTTAAATAGCTCTTTCCTTGCAACCAGGCTTAGCTAACTCCTACTCAGGAAAGGACTCAGTTCAGGTACTATCTTGACCCTAGAAATTTCCTCACACCTATTCTCAGGGGCTCCTACACCACTCTCTAGTGTCTTCCTCTATAAAACATGTTATCCTCTACTGTAGTTATCTGTCTGACAGCTTTAGCCACTAGGAAGTGGATTCTCTGTGGACAATGTTATGTCTTTCTAGTCTAGGGTCCCTAAAACTTGATACTGGTACAAATAAATAAATAAAAGTTTGTTGAATGAAGAATGACATGATTCTATAATTTTATAAGATTGTTAATATGCTTATTTCTTTTCAATATCCATAAATTGTGTTTTTGATTATTGAGTGTGTTTTGGCAGAGTTGATTGCCAGAAAACCTTTATAAAATGTTTTTTCTGGCTTCTAGTTAATCACTTATGGTCTTTATTTCACTACAATATGAAAATCTCTGAATGTTCATAGTGCTACTTCTCAGCATTAATTCTGTAAAATTATTTCTGTAAGGTTTCAGTGTGTTCAAATGATCTTGAATGGTTTTCTGGGCACAGAAGCTTTATCACATAGAAATGACAACTTACAACTTAAGAGCAGTGTTTTTAAACATAAAATTACATTATATAGATAGTGTGGAACAGCTATTCCAAGTTATTGAATGCAAAACTGTATATATTCTAGATCTCATAATAACCAATTAAATCAAACTAATGTGGTAAACCTGAACATTAGCAGAAAGGGAAGTGTCAATGCTTTCATTTTTAAAACTACTGGCTAAGATAAGTGCTGCTTATAACTCTGAAGGGTAAGGTAAGAACATTAGTTGGTTACCTACCATCTACCAGCACCTCACATATATCATTTTATTTAAACCTTACAATAAGTCCATTTTTATGAATTACTGTCTCAATTTTATGGGCGAGAAAATTGAGCATCATAGATATTATATTTCTTGTTCAAAGTTGCAGATTTAGTCAGTGATAAAGACTGGATTTGAAACCAGATATGTCAGAATACTTGGTAATAGATTTGGTACAATAATGGCTCTCGGGACTTTAGCCATTGACCATTTTAATTTGTATTCTAAGGGTCTTTTTGATGACCTTGTAGATAAAGTTAATATATTACTATTAAAGAGAGTTTACAGATACCATAAAGATTATAGCTTTGTTACATATAAAATTTGATGTATACAGGTTTGTAAAGAATAATTTATAACATATATCTTTCATGTTCTTTACCTTTCTTTTTTAAAAACAAGATAACTAACTTAAACACAGATACTGCTTTTCCTGTGGTGCTTGCACAAGAGTAAACTAAGAGTCTAATTAAGTAGTTTTTTTTTCTCCATTAGAATTTATCAGGAGATATACAAAAACATTTATACCATTCTTCCTCTGGGATAACTAAATAATTGAAAGTAAGAGGTATCTGATCTGATAATGGATGTCTGCTAACATTTTGGAGGCTTTTAAAAATAGGATGCAAAGTGATTAAATTACTAAATGACAAAGGAAAGTATCTTTCAATGACACTCCTGAAGACTGATAACAGAGCACATTTTGTTTCATTATGGAAAGCAGTTAACATTAATGCTGTATATAATATTTTTAAAAGATGAAAGTGAATGTAAATTAGCCACAACTGTGTAAAAATAAACATATTTCTCAAGTTATAGATGAAAAAACCAATATATTGGATCAACCCATGTTTCCACAATCTATTATAGCCTGTTGGCAATAGGGGGTTGGGGGGTTGGGGCGTGTCACAGGTTGTCAGCCACCATTACCCAATGATCATTGCAAGTAATGCACCAGTTTATTATGTCAAATAGAATAGGTAGACACAGTAGTAAGATATATATATATAAAATATATATATGTGTGTGTATCACTATATATGTCTATATATAGATATATAATTACTAAATATCTATGTTTGTGTATATATAGATATATATTACTATGTCTCTCTATAGATATATATATATTACTATATGCCTATATATAGACATAGATAGTGATGTCTATCTATATATAATTATTTTGATATGAAGGGAGGAGCCCTAGTAGCAGATTCATTCCTGAGGATTGACCTGGGACAAGCATTTCAGTGACAGAGTTGTGCTGCATCTTAAAATTTTTATTATTTAGTTTTCTCTTAAAAATGTAACTTCTGCACATGACAATAACTTCCAAGAATATATAAAAAACCATACCAAAAAATAGATCTTTCTTTCCTCTTCATTCCTCACCTCTTAGTTCTGTTCCTTAAAAGTAACACCATTACAATTTTATCCTCCTCCTGTTATGCATTTATTTTAAACAGGGGAATTTCCTGAATGCTCTGTAATGTATATTTCCCTGTGGAACACATTAAGTGCATTTTCTTTTTCTATCCTACACCTTTGGAATATATTTGGAATAAAAATTAAAGTTGCCAAGCAATTCTGTCATCACATGCTTAATATGATATGTAAATTATTGGCATCTTTGCTCTCTGTGGCCCCAGCTGCTGAGAATTCCCATAATAGCTGCAGAATGAATGACAGGCCAGAACCAGTAGCTTGTGTTTAATTTTCAGTGAGCTAATATGAGAAAAATGAATAAATCTTTGCACTTAATGAAGACCCAGTATGCTTATGCAAGCATTATATTACCTTTCTGCTAGGTGATTCAAAAAGTAAATTTTACATATTTGTGTGTCTCCTTATATTGTTGTCATATATGTAGAATGATTGAGGGTCTCTCTCTTCTAAACGTAGAAAAATTGTTGTACTTAGGTTCCCTGTGAAGCATAAGTCTGTCTCTACCCTGCTTTTCTAAGCCATCATGATTGCGTTATATATTTTAACAAGAATGGTGTTAGACCTGCAATAAATTCTTATTTTTAAAAATAGCTTTATTGTGGTACAATTGACATGTCATAAACTACACATATTTAAAATGCATAATTTGTTAATGTTGGCATAGGTATATACCGTCACACCATCAACACAATCAATATAATGAACATATCTGTTACCCACCAAAGGTTTCCTCATGCCCCTTTGTCATGTCTGCCTCCTCCCCTGCCCAGCTTGTACCCAATCACTAATCTGTTTTCCTTCACTATAAATTAGTTGGCATTTTCTAAAATTTTATATAAGTGGAATCATATAGAGTGTATTCTTTTCTCTTCTGGCTTCTTTCACTCAGCATAATTATTCTGAGATTCATTCGTGTTGTTGCGTGTATGGGTAGTTCATATCTTTTTAGTGCTGAGTAGTATTCCAGTGTTTAAATGCACCAAAATTTGCTTATTCATTCACTTGTTTAGGGATATTTGAGTCAGCTCCAGTTTGGGGCTCATACAAATAAAGCTTTTATGAAAATTTTGTGTTCAAGTCTTTGTATGGATGTGGGCTTTTATTTTGGGGGGGGGGTAAATACCAAGGAAAAGGTAGGGTGAGTCATATGGTAGATGTGTATTTAATTTTTTAAGAGACTGCAACACTGTTTCCCAAAATGATTGTAACATTTTACATTCCCACCAACAGGGTATGAGAGTTCTAGTTGCATTTCATCTTTCTAACTTTGATATGTCCAATGTTTTTAATTTTAATCATTGTAATAGGTGTGTAGTGGTACTTTATCGTGGTTTTTTCATTTTTAGGCAGTTTTATAATTTTCAATAGTTTTTGGGGTACAAGTGGCCTTTGGTTACATGGATATGTTCTTTAGTGGTTATTTCTGTGATTTTAGTGCACCTGTCACCTGAATGGTGTACACTGTACTCAATACGTAGTCTTTTGTCTCTCGCTCCCTCCCAACCTTTCCCCAACAGTCCCCAAAGTCCATTATTATCTTTCTTATGCATTTGTGTGCTCATAGTTTAGCTCCCACTTACACGTGAGAACATATGATATTTCGTTTTCCATTCCTGAGTTACTTCACTTAGAATAATGGCCTGTAGCTCCATTTAAGTTGCTGCAAAAGACATTATTTTATCCTTTTTCATGGCTGAGTAGTATTCTGTGTTGTATATATACCACATTTTCTTTATCCACTCGTTGGTCAATGGGCACTTAGATTGGTTCCATATTTTTGCAATTGCTAATTGTGCTGCTGTAAACGTGTGTTTATGTATCTATTTCCATGTAATGACTTCTTTTCCTTTTGGTAGATACCCGGTGGTGGGATTGCTGGATCACACAATAGTTCTACTTATAATTCTTTAAGGAATCTCCATACTGTTTTCCTTAGTGGTTATACTAATTTATATTCCCACCAGCAGTGTAAAAGTGTACCCTTTTCACAACATCCATGCCAACATCTATTGTTTTCTTGACTTTTTAATTATGGCCATTCTTTCAGGAGTAAGGTGGTATCTTATTATGATTTTAATTTGCATTTCCCGGATGATGAGTTGAACATTTTTTGTATGTTTGTTAGCTGTTTGCATATCTTCTTTTGAGAAATCTCTATTCATGTCCTTTGCCCACTTTTGATGGGATTATTTGTTTTTTTCTTGCTGGTGTGTTTGAGTTCCTTGTAGATTCTGCATTCTAGTCCTTCGTCCGATGCATAAAAAGTGAATATTTTCTCTCAATCTGCGGGTTGTCTGTTTACACTACTGATTATTTTATTTGCTGTGAAGATGCTTTTTAGATTAATTAGGTCCCATTTATTTATTTTTCTTTTTGTTGCGTATGCTTGTGGGATTTTAACCACGAATTATTTGCCTAAGCCAATGTCCAGAAGAGTCTTTCTGATTTTATTATCTAGGATTTTTATGGTTTCATGTCTTAAGTAAAAGACTTTCATTCATCTTGAGTTGATGTTTGCATGAGATGAGAGACGAGGATCCAGTTTTATTATTCTACATGTGGCTTGCCAGTTGTCCCAGAATCATTTATTGAATAGGGTATCTTTCCTCACTTTATGTTTTTGTATGCTTTGTCAAATATCTGTTGGCTATAAGTATTTGGCATTAATTCTGGGTTCTATATTCTGTTTCATTTATCCATGTGCCTATTTTTATACCAGTAGCATGCTGTTTGGTAACTATAGCCTTGGAGTATAATTTGAAGTCAGATAGAGTGATGCCTCCATATCTGTTGTTTTTGCTTAGCATTACTTGGGATATGCAGGCTCTTTTTAGTTTACATATGAGTTTTAGGATTGTTTTTTCTAGTTCTATGAAGAATGATGGTGGCATTTTGATGGAAATTGCATTGAATTTATAGATTGATTTGGCAGTATGGTCATTTTCACAGTATTGATTATTTCTAACCATGGGCATGGGATGTGTTGTTTCTGTCCTCTGTGATTTCTTTCAGCAGTCCTTGTAGAGATTTTTCATCTCAATGGGTAAGTGCATTCCTAAGTATTTTATTTTTGGCAGCTGTTGTAAAAGGGATTGAATTATTTACTGATTCTCAGCTTGGTTGTTGTCAGTGTATAGCAGTGCTATTAATTTGTGCACATTGATTTTGTATCCTGAGACTACTGAATTAGTTTGTCAAATCTAGGAGCTTTTTTGATGACTCTTTAGGGCTTTCTAGGTGTACAATCATATTATTAATGAACAGTGACAGTTTGACTCCCTCTTTTCCAATTTGGATGCCCTTTATTTCTTTCTCTTGTCTGATTGCTCTGGCTAAGGCTTCCAGTACTATGTTGAATACAAGTGGTGAAAGTGGGCATCCTTGTCATGTTCCAGTTCTCATAGGGAATGCTTTCAATTTTCCCCCATTCAGCATGATGTTGGCTGTGGGTTAGTCATATATAGCTATTATTACTTTGAAGTAAGTCCATTCTATGCTTATTTTGTTGAGGATTTTATATCAAAGAGATGCTGTATTTTATCAATTTTTTGTGTGTCTATTGAGATGATCTTATGGTTGGTTTTAATTCTGTTTATGTGATGTATCACATTTATTGACTTGCATATATTAAACTATCTCTGCATTCCTGGGATGAAATCTATTTGATTGTCTTTTTAGTTTGCTGTTGAATTTGGTTAGCTAATATTTTCTTGAGGATTTTTGCATCTATGTTCATCAGGGATATTGATCTGCAGTTTTCTATTTCTGTTATGTCCATTCTTTGTTTTGGTATTGGGGTAATATTGGCTTTGTAGAATGATTTAGGGAGGACTTCCTCTTTCTTAATCTTTTGGAATAATTTCAGTAGGATTGGTACCAATTCTTTTTTTTTTTTTTTTTTTGAGACGGAGTTTCACTCTTGTTGCCCGGGCTGGAGTGCAATGGCACGATCTCGGCTCACTGCAACCTCCACCTCCCAGGTTGAAGTGATTCTCTTGCCTCAGCCTCCCAAGTAGCTGGGATTACAGGCATGCGCCACCACACCCAGCTAATTTTTTGTATTTTTAGTTGAGACAGGGTTTCTCCATGTTGGTCAGGCTGGTGTCAAACTCCTGACCTCAGGTGATCGGCCCGCCTTGGCCTCCCAAAGTGCTGGGATTACAGGCATGAGCCACCACACCCGGCTGGTACCAATTATTCTTTGAATGTCTGGTAGAATTCAGCTGTGAATCCATCTGATGGGCAATTTCACTGACAATTTTTAAATATGGATTTGATCTCACTGCTTGTCATGGGTCTGTTCAGGGTTCCTATTTCTTTCTAATTTAATCTAGGAGGATTGTATGTTTCCGGGAACCTATCCATGTCCTCTAGATTTTCTAGTTTGTGCATGTAGAGATATTCATAGTAGCCTTGGATGATCTTTAGTATCTCTGTGGTGTCAGTTGTAATGTCTCCAGTTTCATTTCTAATCGAGCTTATATTGATTTTCTACTTTTCTTGGTTAATCTCACTAATCATCTATCAATTTTGTTTATTCTTTCAAAGAACCAGCTTTTTGTTTCATTTATCTTTTGTATATATGTTTCAATTTCAGTTAGTTTTGCTCTGATCTTTGTTATTTCTTTTCTTCTGCTGGGTTTGGATTTGGTTTGTTCTTGTTTCTCTGGTTCATTGAGGTGTAAAATTAGGTAGTCAATTTGTGCGTTTTCAGACTTTTTGATGTAGGCATTTAACACTATTAACTTTCCACTTAGCACTGCTTTTGCTGCATCCCAGAGATTTTAATAAGTTGTGTCACTATTGTTCATTTCAAAGAATTTTCTAATTTCCATCTTGATTTCTTTAACTCAAATATTCAAGAGGAGATTATTTAATTTCCATGTATTTGTATAGTTTTAAGTATTTCTTTTGGAGTTGATTTCCAGTTTTATTCCACTGTCTGAGAAGACACTTGATAGGATGTTGACTTTCTTAAATTTATTGAGACTTGTTTTGTGGCCTATCATATAATCTATATTGCAGAATGTTTCATGTACTGATGAGAAGAATGTATATTCTATTGTTGTTGGGTAGAACATTCTGTAAATACCTGTTAATTCCATTTGTTCTAAGGTATAGTTTAAGTCCGTTGTTTCCTTGTTGATATTCTGTCTTGATGATCTGTCTAGTGCTATCAATGGAGTATTGAAGAACCCCACTATTACTGTGTTGACGTCTATCACATTTCTCAGGTTTAGTAGTAATTGTTTTATAAACCTTGGATATCCAGTGGTTAGCTGCATATAAACTTAGGATAGACTAGTCTTTTTGTCATTATACAATGTCCTTCTTTGTCTTTTTTTACTATTGTTGCTTTAAAGTCTCTTTTGTCTAATATAAGAATAGCTACTCCTGCTTGCTTTTGGTTTTCATTTGCATGGAGTATCTTTTTCCACCCCTTTATCTTGAGTTCATTTCAGTCCTTAGCGTTAAGTGTGCCTCCTGAAGACGGCAGATACTGGTTGGTGGTTTTTATTCATTCTGCCATTTTGTATCTTTAAGTGAAACTTTTAGGCGATTTACATTCAACATTAATATTGAAATGTGATGTACTAATGTAGTTATCATAATAGTTGTTACTTAGATACTTTGATGTTATTTTCATTATAATATTGTTTTATAGGACCTGTGAGATTTATGCTTTAAGGAGCTTCTATTTTGGTGTATTTTATAGATTTAGAGCTTTTGTTTCAAGATTTAGAACCCCTTTTAGCATTTCTTATAGTGCTGGTTTGGCAGTGGCAAATTCCCTCAGCATTTGTTTGTCCAAAAAAGAATTTATCTTTCCTTCATTTATAAAGCTTAGTTTTGCTGGATTCAAAATTCTTGCCTGACAATTATTTTATCTGAGGAGGCTAAAGATAGTACCCAAATTCCTTCTTGCCTGTAACGTTTCTGAGAAATCTGCTAGTAGTCTGATAGGTTTTCCTTTATAGGTTATCTGATGCTTTTGTCTCACATCTCTTAAAATTCTTTCCTTCATGTTGACTTTGGATAGCCTGATGACCATCTGCCTTAGTGATGATCTTTTTGCAATGAATTTCCCAGGCATTCTTTGAACTTCTTGTATTTGGATATGTAGATCTCTAGCAAGGTCAGGGAAGTTTTCTTCAATTATTCCCACAAATATGTTTTCCAAACTTTTAGACTACTCTTCTCCCTCAAGAACACCAATTATTCTTAGGTTTGACCATCTTACATAATCTTATATTTCTTGGAGACTCTGTTCATTTCTTTTGATTCTCTCTTTCTTTATCTTTGTCTGATTGGGTTAATTCAAAAGCCTTGTGTTTGACCTCCAGAATTCTTTCTTCTACTTATTCTAGTTTATTGTTGAAACTTTCCATTGTATTTTGTATTTCCCTAAGTGTGTATTTTATTTCCAAAAGATCTGATTGGTTTTTCTCTATGATATCTATCTCTTTGGAAAATTTTTCATTCATACTCTGGATTGCTTTTAAAATTTCTTTTTGTTGGTGTATTAGTCCATTTTCATGCTGCTGATAAAGACATGAGTGAAATTGGGAAGAAAAATATGTTTAATGGACTCACAGTTGCACGTGGTTGGGGAAGCCTCACAATCGTAGCAAGAGGCATTTCTTACATGGTGGTGGCAAGAAAGAATGAGACAGAAACAAAAGCAGAAACCTCTTATAAAACCATCAGAGCTTGTGAGACTTATTCACTACCATGAGAACAGTATGGGGGAAACGGTCCCCATGATTTAATTATCTCTCACTGAGTCCCTCCCTACACATGAGAATTGTGGGAGTATAATTCAAGATGAGATTTGGGTGTGGACACAGCCAAACCATATTATTGTGCCCCTGCCCCCTCCCCAAATATCATATCCTCACATTTCAAAACCAATCATGCCTTCTCAACAGTACCTCAAAGTCTTAACTCATTTCAGCATTCACTCAAAAGTCCACACTCCAAAGTCTCACCTGAGACAAGGCAAGTCCCTTCTGCCTATGAGCCTGTAAAATCAAAAGCAAGTTATTTACTTCCTAGATACAATGGAGGTACAGACATTGGATAAATATACCCATTCCAAATGGGAGAAATTGGCCAAAATGAAGGAGTGAAAGGCCCCACAGAAGTCCAGAATCCAGCAAGGCAGTCAAATCTTAAAGCTCCAAAATGATCTCCTTTGGCTCCATGTCTCACATCCAGGTCATGCTGATGCAAGTGGTAGGCTCCCACGGCCTTGGGCAGATCACCCCTGTGGCTTTGCAGAGTATAGCCCCCCTCCTGGATTTCATGGGTGGCATGGCCTGCAGCTTTTCCAGGTGCACAGTACAAGGTGTCAGTGGATCTGCCATTCTGGGGTCTGGAGGACAGTGACCTTCTTCTCACAACTCCGCTCAGCAGTGGCCCAGTAGGGACTCTGTGTGGGGCCTCTGACACCACATTTCCCTTCTGCACTACCCTAGCAGAGGTTCTCCTTAAGGATCACACCCCTGCAGGAAACTTCTGCCTGGGCATTCAGGCATTTCCATACATCCTCTGACATCTAGGTGGAGGTTCCCAAACCTCAATTCTTGACTTACATACACCCAAAGGCTCAATACCATGCGCAAGCTGCCAAGGCTTGTGTCTTGCACCTTCTGAAGCCACTGCCTGAGCTGTACCTTGGCCCCTTTTAGCCATGGATAGAGCAGCTGGGAAGCAGGGCACCAAGTCCTTAGGCTGCACACAGAATGGGGACCCTGGGCCTGGCCCACAAAATCATATTTTCCTCCTAGGCCACTGGGCCTATGATGGGAGGGGCTGCTGCAAAAGTCTCTGACATACCCTGGAGACATTTTCCCTATTGGCTTGGCAATTAGCATTTGGCTTGTTACTTATGCAAATTTCTGCAGGTGGCTTGAATTTCTCTTTAGAAAAATAGGCTTTTCTTTTCTATTGCATCATCGGGCTGCAAATTTTCTGAACTTTTTGTTCTATTTCCCTTTTAAAACTGAATGCTTTTAACAACACCCAAGTCACCTCTTGAAGGCTTTGCTGCTTAGAAATTTCTTCCACCAGATACCCTACATTCAAAGTTCCACAAATCTCTAGGGCAGGGACAAAATGCTGCCAGTCTCTTTGCTAAAATGTAGCAAAATTCACCTCTGCTACAGTTCCAAACAAGTTTCTTATCTCCATCTGAGACCAACTTAGCCTGGACCTTATTTTTCATATCACTATCAGCATTTTTGTCAAAGTCATTTCACAAGTCTCTAGGAAGTTCCAAACTTTCCCACATTTTCCTGTCTTCTTCTAAGGTCTCCAAACTGTTCCAACCTCCACATATTACCCAGTTCCACAGTGGTGTCCACATTTTTGAGTATCTTTACAGCAGTGACCCACTCTACTGGTACCAATTTACTGCATTAGTCCATTTTCACACTGCTGATAAAGACATATTTGAGATTGGGTAATTTATAAAAAAGAAAAAAAAAGAGGTTTAATGGACTAACAGTTCTACATGGTTGGGGAGGCCTCAGAATCATGGCAGAAGATAAAAGGCATGTCTTACATGGCAGTGGGCAAGAGAGAATTAGAGACCCAAGCAAAAGGGGAAACCTCTTATAAAACCAGCAGGTCTCATGAGACTTATTCAGTTCCATGAGAACATTATGGGGGAACTGCCCCTATGATTCAATTATATCCCACTGGTTTCCTCCCAAAACACATGGGAATTATGGGAGCTACAATTCAAGATGAGATTTGGGTGGGGACACAGCGAAACCATATCATTTGGCAAAGCCCAATTCATTGTTTATCTTATTGGATGCATTTTTCATCCTAGACATGATAGTTTTTATCATTAGAAGTTTGATTTGCATGTTTTTTATATGTCTTATGTAGTTAGATTTTATGCATGAGAAAACTGAAGCAAACAGAGGACATGAAACTTGCCTAAGATTTCAGAGCTATTAAGAAGTGGATGCCAGAATACAAATCTAGGTAACCCAGCCCCAGAGATTGCACTTTTAATTACTACTTGTCCCCTTCTCTTTAAGGACATGTTATTATTTCATACTATTCTCTTCCAAAACATTTAGAACAATGCTTGGCACATACAAAGGTTATAACAATTGCTAATTGTAGAATTAAACGCTGGAAAGCTGCAAAACTTTATGAAGATTGAAAACTCAATTCAGATGACAATTATTTTTAAAATTTCCCTGGTCTTTCCACAATTTTTCTTAAAAATTTCCCTAATCTCTTATCACTAACACAAGGTAAAGTTACTTCCTATGCATTTTTATCCATCTTATTCTTAATTCTATAACAGCATTACAAAATTGTATAGCTGTATGTGTCTTTGAATGTTGAATTGAAATTAAATTGGATGATGGCTCAAGTAGTCAATAAAGTTTTAGGGCACAGACAGCCTACTGGATGGTCAAGGGATGAGGTGTAGCTGGTTGCCACCAAAGAAAAAGCTCACCAGATGCCACCTGAAAGGACACATAACATGATTTTTAACCATAGGCAATGTGCCGTGGATAGAAACTGGGCAATCTTCAAGGGCTACATTGGCACCCATGAGACTTGTAGGGTTGTTCTGTATGGTGACAAACCTCAGGGAGTGGCATTCATATTATAATTTATTTGAATAGTAACTCCCCAGAATTGTGGAGTCCACAGCTCTCACAATGGTAGGCAGCTGCCCAGTGAGGCTATCAGACAGGTTGTAGATTAAGGTGATCTAAATTGGACCAGAGCTGGAGGCAAGGTGGCTGATTCGACTCCTCCCAGCAGAACCCCTGAAGATCTGGTTACCCCACGTTAAGCTCTATAGATCTTTCATCCCTGCCAACCCCTACTGTTTCCTCCCTGTTCAGTCAAGTTTCCCTCCTTGGAACCTATGGAATTTATATTCTGTCTTGAAGGCAGGGAATTTAGCTCTAACTCATTGGATTTCTTTGCTCTGAGTTCCCTCACAGGCTAGGCTTTTGAAAACATTTACATACTCTACAGTAATAAATCTTCCTTGAAGCTTGTATGTTACAAGATCATATTATTGCACAAATGGAGGGGAGAGTTAAAAACACTAGAAAAGGAAGAAAACATCCATTACTGTTTCAAATACATTAGTCTCCCAACTAGACTATGAGCTCCTTAATGGTAAGGAATGTGTTTTTATAAACAGAGGAAATGCATTTGAATACGATTCAGATTTGCTCAAGCTAAATTGTCAATTCTTTGTAGTTCTCATTTGTGCTACTACTCCAGAGGAAACTCTGTTCTACTATTGTATTCTGCACAATTTTATCCTGAAAATGTGTTGTGTGCTTGACAGATAATTCACGTCTGTTCTCCAGAGATTGTTTGTTTTATAAGACTACTATTTGTTTCCCTAATTTTAGGAACTGTTATATTGATTTTCCCCTTTAAACCTGATTATAGCTTATAGCTATACTGAGTCCCACCATTCAAGTCTCTTAGAATCATAGCTCTGAATTCTGAGAAGGGGGTAAAAGAGCCTTACTCTTTACTTTAAATTGTCACACTTTTCTTGTGATAAAATTATCTGTGGCATATTTTCAGAGGTGTCTAGACAATTATATTTAAAATTCTACTGGAGAAGATTTAATGAAAATATTCATTTTACATTGTATGCTTGGATTTACAGTTTGTATCTGAAATATAATCGAATGCAAATAATGTGTAAATTAAAATATGTAAAATTATAATTAGTATCCATCATCTGCTGACTATAGACACAAAGCAACACTTTAAAAAAAATCTCATTTGAGCTTAGTATTTTCAGTAAAAAGAACTGTGAATTCACATTCTAGAGTTTCAGTTGTATTACTTCATTTTGTGATTTGAGAAAACATTTCACTTCTGTTTTTTCTCTTTAAAATGAGAGAATTGGATCACCTGTGGGCTTGCTACTTTGCATAAATGTAAATTAAAGAAAAATTATTTGGCTAAAAAATAAAACACAAATTTTATTGTGTATTTTCTCAGGAAATGAAATATTTGTGAGTATATGTAAGATTTCTTTTATTTCTCTCTTAATAAAGAGTTTCTTTTTTAAATTTAATTTCAGAGTATATAATAAAGTACTATCATAATGGAATTTTGAGAATGAATAAAATTAGTTTCTGAAATTGGTACATTTTGCCTCCCTACTAGTCTTCTAAACCACCTAATTGAAAACGTGGTTTAGGGCTCTTAATGTATTCTTTAAAACAAGATTTTTTCCACTGCAAATGGAAAAAAATAAACAATGTTTTTAATCTAAAAAATATTATTCCCCAGGCCCATTGTGTTGGAATGTATGACTTTCATCAGCTACTTTTCTCTTGGGAGTAGCCTTAAAATGCTTTCTATTTTATTTAGAAAACAGCTTTCACACACACTGCCACCTGCTGATCTTTTTCTCTTGCATCTCACAGTAAGCCAATCATTTTTCACATTCTTGCCCAGCAATTTTAATCAATTTCTTATTCTCTAACAGCTACACCTAATGAGTAGAGCAGCAAAACTGTTGATCAACAAGTGTTTTCTAAGGGCTGGACATCAGTCAATAGAATTTGGCCCTCTCCAGGCCTCCTTCCTGATATTAAATTGTGAGTCAGAAACCACAGGTGAAACCAACAAGTCTCAACTAAGGCTATGACTTAACAGCAAGTGTACAGGGTACCTTCAAAGAGGTGGTAAGCAGATTTTACAAAATCCAGAATATTTAAAGGTATTTCAGAGGAAGGAAGACTTAAGAAAGGAAGCTATAAGTTGTTCATGCAGGGGAAGAGAATCAGCAAATGACAAAAGTCACACAGATATTAACCAAAAAGTACTCATTCCCTAAGCCAGGATTGAACCCAGGTCACCATTGTAAAATGGCAGAGACCAAAACAAAGTACTGCCATGTTGTTACAGGTTATGCTCCCAAGGACATAAAACAAGATGGAGACCTGCAGCAAAGTTTGTTACTGACCAGTTTGCTGGGCTGGCTTGAATAGAGGGCTTATCGGTTTCTAGGGATGCATTCTATCCTAAGGTACTCCTCTTTCTGATAGAAAGATAGAGAAAGACAAATTCTTGGCACAAAGTACAACAGATTCACCACAGCTTAAGACTAGCCTCATAAATCCTTTTTTTCATTAATTAAAACTTTACAGAGGATATAAACTGTGATTATATTATTCATTCAACTGGTTTGCACAGGGAGAGGGAGACCAGAAGTCTGACTGTTAAGAACTTTTACACTTTTGCTGGCGTGTCTGGCTTCTGTGTTCCCTTCCCCTGAGTTCAATTTTAAGCCAAGTAGTTTAAGGTTTAGAGAAATTAACTTTTCCCAATTTGGGTATGCATCTGAGGAGGAGTGTCCTGTGGTACAGGGACACAATTATTCATCTGCAAAAGGAAAACAGAGGAGAAAAAAGAATGTGTTTTATCCAAAGGAGTCCCAGGGATTCATGAGGTATTTGAGAAAAATACAGACTGAAGATGATTGGCTAACCATCTAGAAAGAGGGGAACAAGGAATCCCTAGTTCCTTTATCTTCCAAGCAAATAGCCAAAGTATGTGAGGGAGAGAAGAAGAGGCATCCCCCTTCTTTCTCCCATTTTATATCCCCAAGTCCTGGTGACCTCAGTAGGGTGCTGCCCATGGATGCCAACACAGCTTTCACCCATGTTAACAGTGAGGCCTAAGGGGTGGGAGTTATCCATATTTGCCCATGCACTGCCTCTTCCCTGCTGTGAGTAACTTTTGAGTTCCTAGATCTTGTCTATGCCATGCATGCAAGTATAACCTTCAACCATGAAGTGGGAGGGCCTATCCAGTAAGAATTAGTCATGCTCACCTGCGTTGTGCCCCATCTTCTGTTGTTGCCTCCCTCTGCATCCCTTAGATCCAGTTTTCCCTCTTATGGTTTCAACCCAAAGCCTGGAATTGAGTTTGGGACAAAAGCGTACCTCAGGGGATACATGAATTAATTTAGATTATGTCACAGATGGCTGTCACCAAATTTGCAGCCAGCAGCCTATGGGGTCACTCCTCCATTGCTTCCCTATCATAAGCAGAGTGTTAAGGTAGGGAAAAAAAAAACAAAAAACAAAAAAAAAACCTCTCTCATAGAAAAGCTCCCTGTATTCACAGGGCTATGTGCATGTGCTAACTCCTGGTATGGTTGGTATGGTGGAGAAAAGAGAAAAACAAAATAAGATGAAAAAACAGCTTAAGTGTGGGGAAGATGTCTGGGGGACAAAAAGCCTCTTGCTTTATGCAAATGGGCTCCTCCAACAGGGAGAGAAACTCTTAATTGTTTTATCCTCTTCTTGGCTTGGCCAGGGAAGGAAAGCCTCTGTGGGCACATGGTGGGAGGGGATGGTGAGCAGGAAAAACTGACCAGCTGGCTGCATGGAGCTCTTGGCCCCCAAGACCACCCTGGGGATGAGTGGTGGCTGTGTCTCATTCCTGCCCCACATGGTCATTGGATGCAGCATATGCATGTGGCAGACATGGCCATGCACCCCACCTGGTGCAGTTGGGGAGCCGCCGCTCACCCGTCTGTCCTGCATGCATACCCTTGGCTGTTGGGGTGTGGGTGGGGGATGCCTTTAGGAACAGATGGAAATCACATTGTTCTGAATTGCATATCTGATGGCTGGGCCAAATGCTCATTCTACGTAGTAATATCTCTGCAGTTTGCAGCAGCACTTTTAACATTATAAAAGAAAAGATAGGGGCCATTTCCAACCATGAAGAAAGGAAGGAAAAATCCATAGAAAAGTCTGAGGGTCTTGGCCAACTTCAGAAAAAAGGTTGAAGATGAAAAGACTTGGGGATGAGAGTGAAAGGTTTGGGTCTGCATTTACTCACCCTCCAGGTGTCTCCATATGGGCCACCAAAATAATGCAGGATTTCTACTCCTTAGTTAAGCTAGGTCCAAGTTCTTGTCTCATGACCAGGAAGAATTAAGCATGCAGACCCTAGAGAATGGGTGGAGTAGAATTTATTAAGTGAAAGGAAAACTCTCAGCAAAGAGAGGGGACCTGAAAAGCAGGTTGCCAGTTGTCCCCTTTACAGTTCAATACCCGGGCTTATGGTGTGAGTTCCTGGTGGCTCCACACCATCCTTCCTGTGCGTATGTGGGCCCTTAGACTGAGCTACTCCATATTGATTCATTTCTCTTACTGCGCATGTGTTAAGGAACTAAGTTTTCCACTTTGGGCATGTTTAGGCAAGCCCTTTGTGCAAGTTCCCTTATCTGCATAAAACACCTGGTATAAGCACTTTTGAGGTGGGTTGATGGTTCTCCAGGGACCCTTCCCTTACTGTCTGCCCAAAGCAAGCTGGCTAACTCCTTTCAATACTGTTACTAATGCTGAATTCAATGTATTATTAAGTGACTGGGTGCTATAAGCTGAGAATTATTTATTGGTAGTAAATGAAGTTCACATTGACATAATACATCATAATCTTACCTCTGCTTGAGGCTGATGTGGTAGAGTCATGCAATGTATTCCTCAAATCTCATTTCATTTCTTTCTTGGGCACATAGACAGGTTGTATTTCTTAACATTCCTTGCATTGGGAAGAATGAGCCTATGATTGAGTTCTGACCAATGGAATGCGGGCAAAAATAAAATATTCCACCTACAGGCCTGACACTTAAAAAGCCCTCTTGCCAGGTTTTAATACTCTTCTTTCCCCATTCCCATAGCTCTAGAAGGAAGATTCAGTGGAAGACTTTAAGGCCACAGGGAATGGTGGCATTGGGGAAAAAAAAAAAAAACAAAAAAAACAAACTAGTTCCCTGAGTAACTGCATGGAGTAGAGCCCTACCACACACCCCCAATCCTCTGGCAAGCTGCTTATGAAGTGAATAAAAAATTAATCTGCATTTTATTAAGCCAAGATTTTAGAACTGTTATTTATAGTAGTTAGATTACCTTCAGTAATACAGCTTGTTCATAAATTTATCATTCTTCCTAAATATTATGCCTACCATTCAGAGATCAACTGTGGGCTTTGAATTCCAGGCTTAGCAAAAAATGGCAATTAGGTTTTACCTTATTAGCCAATTATAGGATTTATTGTAGAAGGCTGAAGGTTAACCTTAGCAGATTTTTGCCAAGCTATCTTTAATTTCAGAGGATAAAGGAGATCAAATCTGTTAGTGTCCTTTATCAGGGGCAAAGGAAAGAAAAATAGTGGTGTAACTGTCACATATTGGCAATCCCTGGATAGGACAATTAAACTTTTTGAAGGCATTGATAAGACAGAACTGTGAAATAAGACAGAATTGTGAGATAAGCCTAGGATGCAGTCAAAATTACTTTTCTTACAGTAACAATATAGTTTACTATTGTGACTGCATAATTATAGAGCAAATCCTAAATTTTAAGATCCAGAACTTGTTTTTGTTGAATGAATAAATGAATAGAGATTCCCAGTGTTTGCCTTCTAAGAAAACCTTCTTTTAAAATTAGTAGTTTCCCTGGTGGTCTAGTGGTTAGGATTCAGTGCTCTCTCATAAAATAAGTAGTAAAGAAAGATTACAAATTTATACATGGGTGTCAGCTTCATGATTATTTTTTGTGCTATCAATTATTAGATTTTGAGCTCCATGAGGACAAACATCTTTGTCTGTTTTGGTCCCACCTGTATTCCCAACACCTAGAAGAATGCCTGATACATTGGAGGGACTTAATTAAATATTTGTTGAATCAATAAATGCAGTTTAAATTCACCTTATTCTGAGTTTGATTTGTTTCTAGAAACAAAGATCTTTCTATGCTGTGTTTATAGTTGACCGTACTTCCACGCTTAATATCACAGGTCTTGTAGGTTGGTTGTTTGTTTAATTGGCTATTTATTCATATCAGAGAAAGGAATTATTCTTAATGTGGAAGGGACCCTAGAATCAAATTATACAGACCACCATTTGTGCTTCTTTATCTCTGAAGCATTTAGTTCTGTAAGCAAAAAAAAAAAAGAAAGAAAGAAAAGAAATTTTGTATAACGGCATTATGCAAAAGCATCACTGACCCTTCCTGGAAACATGTGCTTCTGAATTAAATAAATAATGTGTACATAAATATAAACATATATACTATTAGTAAAGGGCATTGTTGTCCTTTGATGTTATTCCATAGTTTTAAAAAAATTCTAAGCAGACATAAATCATGAGGTTTTTTCACACTGAAAAAAATAAAGAAAGCTCAGTGCTAAAATCACCTGCAGGGCCAGCTTGATGGGCACGCAGTCTGTACAATTGCCCTACCCTTGGTTAATGTTCTTAAAAATCTCAATAATTTTTGTTCAAAGGACCTCATGTTTTCAATTTGCACTGCACTTGCAAATTAGGTAGCCAGCGCTGATCCTGTAGCATCTTCTAAAATAGACCTTATGGATAAGCAGGGCATTTCCTGTCCCAGAACAGTTGCCCAATAGCAAAAATGGATTTTTGAGTGAATAAATTGATAAATAAAAATGTTTTAATGGCATAGCATAAAAACACAAACACTTGTATCTAACAGTCAAGCAGAAGAGGTTCTTACTCAAATTAAGAAGTGGAGGCAGAAAGAGTGAAGGGTGAGAAAAGGGCACTCAGAAGTTCTTTTCTATCCAAATCCATGAGAGCACAAAGTTGACCATAATTTCATTGCCTATGAAGCCAAGTAAAAGAAAATAAACCCTTACTTGTAAAAGCAAATCAATATCTTTTAACTTTTGCTATTCTTAATGGATAGCTGCAATATACTCAAACACATTCAAGAGTTTATAAGACATTCCGTTGAAAATCATTTTCTCTTATCAAATTTAGACAGGTTCTTTTAATTTGAATGAACACTACTTCTTTTGTGTAAATAGTGTATTATAAATTGTAATGTTATTATTTGAGGTTTTATAGAATCGTATTTTCTGTGAATCTTAATTTTGGAAAAATATCATCTTCTTAACCTGCCTGATATTTGGCAACATACTGGCAGAAAATAAACTTGAAACTCAGGAAGGTTGGCATTAGATCAATAACAGGAATGAAAAGAAATCTCAGTCCAATCTCAGAAATTTAGATCTACCATGTAGATGTGTTGTTTTCAGCACAATATCATACATTGTTTTGTGCAAATTATAGTCATACCTAATAAGCTAAAAGTTGGCATATCATCATCAAACAGCTTTTGCACAGCTACTGAAAATAGCACTGATTGAAGTGGCATGGATTTGCTTAGCTTGGGTTGTAATCGATTTGATGTCTATCCAGCCATGTTGAGAGACTAATAGTCCTGCAATTGCCTGCCTTTACCTCTGCATTCCTGACCATCTGCTGAGAGGAGTCAGGTAATGGGTTTTGTCACATTTCAGACCTATTATTTCTGCCTGGCCTAGAAGTATTTTCTACAAAAGCAATAATGTCTGCATGTGTTTAGACATTAAGGTTAGTTTTACATTTAACTTCTCAGTAATTTGACTAAGGTCAAGAATCTGATTACTTTTCATACTAAACGTATCTGATTACTTTTCATACTAAAAGTATCTGATTACTGTTAGTAGATACTAATTTATAAATTGTATTTTCGCTAGAGGGATATCATTTATTTTGGAAGAAATAAATGATCTCTTCAATCTCTAACTTGATGACTAATCTAATAGAAAGTTCCCACACAATAATAATGGGAGACTTTAACACCCCACTGTCAACATTAGACAGATCAACGAGACAGAAAGTTAACAAGGATATCCAGGAATTGAACTCAGCTCTGCACCAAGCGGACCTAAAAGACACCTACAGAACTCTCCGCCCCAAATCAACAGAATATACATTCTTCTCAACACTACACCACACTTATTCCAAAATTGACCACATAGTTGGAAGTAAAGCACTCCTCAGCAAATGTAAAATAACAGAAATTATAACAAACTATCTCTCAGACCACAGTGCAATCAAACTAGAACTCAGAGTTTAAAAACTTAAAAACTCACTCAAAACCACTCAACTGCATGGAAACTGAACAACCTGCTCCTGAATGAAAAGTGGGTATATAATGAAATGAAGGCAGAAATAAAGATGTTCTTTGAAACCAACGAGAACAAAGACACAACATACCAGAATCTCTGGGACACATTTAAAGCAGTGTGTAGAGGGAAATTTATAGCACTAAATGCCCACAAGAGAAAGCAGGAACGATCTAAAATTGACACCCTAACATCACAATTAAAAGAACTAGAGAAGCAAGAGCAAACACATTCTAAAGCTAGCAGAAGGCAAGAAATAACTAAGATCAGAGGAGAACTGAAGGAAATAGAGGCACAAAAAACCCTTCAAAAAATTAATGAATCCAGGAGCTGGTTTTTTTAAAAGATCAACAAAATTGGTAGACCACTAGCAAGACTAATAAAGAAGAAAAGAGAGAAGAATCAAGTAGATGCTATAAAAAATGATAAAGGGGATATCACCACCGATCCCACAGAAATACAAACTACCATCAGAAAATACTATAAACACCTCTATGGAAATAAACCAGAAAATCTAGAAGAAATGGATAAATTACTGGACATGTACACCCTCCCAAACTAAACCAGGAAGAAATTGAATCTCTGAATAGACCAATAACAGGCTCTGAAATTGAGGCAATAATTAATAGCTTACCAACCAAAAAAAGTCCAGGACCAGACAGATTCACAGCTGAATTCTACCAGAGGTACAAGGAGGAGAAAGTACCCTTCCTTCTGAAACTATTCCAATAAATAGAAAAAGAAGGAATCTTCCCTAACTCATTTTATGAGGCCAGCATCATCCTGATACCAAAGCCTGGAAGAGACACAACAAAAAAAGAGAATTTTAGACCAATATCCCTGATGAACACCGATGCAAAAATCCTCAATAAAATAATGGCAAACCAAATCCAGCAACACATCGAAAAGCTTATCCACCATGATCAACTGAACTTTATCCCTGGGATGCAAGGCTGGTTCAACATATGCAAATCAATAAACGTAATCCAGCATATGAACAGAACCAACAACAAAAACCACATGATTATCTCAATAGATGCAGAAAAGGCCTTTGACAAAATGCAACAGCCCTTCATGCTAAAAACTCTCAATACATTAGGTATTGATGGGACATATTTCAAAATAATAAAAGCTATTTATGACAAACCCACAGTCAATATCATACAGAATGGGCAAAAACGGGAAGCATTCCTTTTGAAAACTGGCACAAGACAGGGATGCCCTCTCTCACCACTCCTATTCAACATAGTGTTGGAAGTTCTGACCAGGGCAATCAGGCAGGAGAAGGAAATAAAGGGTATTCGATTAGGAAAAGAGGAAGTCAAATTGTCTCTGTTTGCAGATGGCATGATTGTATATCTAGAAAACCCCATCGTCTCAGCCCAAAATCTCCTTAAGCTGATAAGCAACTTCAGCAAAGTCTCAGGATACAAAATCAATGTGCAAAAATCACAAGCATTCTTATGCACAAATAACAGACAAACAGAGAGCCAAATCATGAGTGAACTCCCATTCACAGTTGCTTCAAAGAGAATAAAATACCTAGGAATCCAACTTACAAGGGATGTGAAGGACCTCTTCAAGGAGAACTACAAGCCACTGCTCAATGAAATAAAAGAGGATACAAACAAACGGAAGCACATTCCATGCTCATGGGTAGGAAGAATCAATATCGTGAAAATGGCCATACTGCCCAAGGTAATTTGTAGATTCAATGCCAATGAATGTGAAGAATGACTGTCTTCACAGAACTGGAAAAAACTACTTTAAAGTTCATATGGAGCCAAAAAAGAGCCAGCATTGCCAAGTCAATCCTAAGCCAAAAGAACAAAGCTGGAGGCATCACGCTACCTGACCTCAAACTATACTACAAGGCTTCAGTAACCAAAACAGCATGGTACTGGTACCAAAACAGAGATATAGACCAATGGAACAGAACAGAGCCCTCAGAAATAATGCCACACATCTACAACTATCTTATCTTTGACAAACCTGACAAAAACAAGCAATGGGGAAAGGATTCCCTATTTAATAAATGGTGCTGGGAAAACTGGCTAGCCATATGTAGAAAGCTGAAACTGGATCCCTTCCTTACACCTTAAAGAAAAATTAATTCAAGATGGATTAAAGACTTAAATGTTAGACCTAAAACCATAAAAACCCTAGAAGAAAACCTAGGCAATACCATTCAGGACATAGGCATGGGCAAGGACTTCATGTCTAAAACACCAAAAGCAATGGCAACAAAAGCCAAAATTGACAAATGGGATCTAATTAAACTAAAGAGCTTCTGCACAGCAAAAGAAAATACCATCAGAGTGAACAGGCAACCTACAGAATGGGAGAAAATTTTTGCAATCTACTCATCTGACAAAGGGCTAATATCCAGAATCTCCAATGAACTCAAACAAATTTACAAGAAAAAACAAACAACCCCATCAACAAGTGGGCAAAGGATATGAACAGACACTTCTCAAAAGAAGACATTTATGCAGCCAAAAAACACATGAAAAAATGCTCATCATCACTGGCCATCAGAGAAATACAAATCAAAACCACAATGAGATACCATCTCACACCAGTTAGAATGGCAATCATTAAAAAGTCAGGAAACAACAGGTGCTGGAGAGGATGTGGAGAAATAGGAACACTTTTACACTATTGGTGGGACTCTAAAGTAGTTCAACCATTGTGGAAGTCAGTGTGGCGATTCCTCAGGGATCTAGAACTAGAAATACCATTTGACCCAGCCATCCCATTACTGGGTATATACCCAAAGGAATATAAATCATGCTGCTATAAAGACACATGCACATGTATGTTTATTGTGGCACTATTCACAATAGCAAAGACTTGGAACCAACCTAAATGTCCAACAATGATAGACTGGATTAAGAAAATGTGGCACATATACACCATGGAATACTATGCAGTCATAAAAAATGGTAAGTTCATGTCCTTTGTAGGGACATGGATGAAGCTGAAAACCATCATTTTCAGCAAACTATTGCAAGGACAAAAAACCAAACACCGCATGGCATGTTCTCATTCATAGGTGGGAATTGAACAATGAGAACATGGACACAGGAAGGGGAACATCACACACGGGGTCCTGTCGTGATGTGGGGTGAGGTGGGAGGGATAGCGTTATGAGATATACCTAATGTAAATGATGAGTTAATGGGTGCAGCACACGAACATGGCACATGTATACATATGTAACAAACCTGCACATTGTGCACATGTACCCTAAAACTTAAAGTATAATAAAAAAAGTATAAATTAAAAAAAAAGAAAGTTCCCAGTCCATTCTGCTGCTACTGCCTTGATATTCTGCTTTCAGAAAGCGACACTTTCAGATTAAGTTGAAATATTGTCTTGATGGCTGACAATTGCTACTAATTTCAATTTTAATGGAAAAAAATAACTAAAATAAGATATTGATTCAATTTTGAAACTATATTTCCTTGGAAAAGGTTTGTCTCACTTATTACAAATTACGAGTTATTTGGCTGTGTGCTGTTCCTATACATTTTCTCTCTGAATGTTTTAAACAAAATTAATGAAATAAGAATGCTAAGTTTCTGGTTTCTAATATACTTTAACAGAGCAATTAAACATAGATTTTTAATATGAAGTTTTTACTATTTATTGCAAGAAATAAAAAATCTCTTATACATCTAATTATCTTAAGATATTAATACACCTCTAATGTTTTATTTTTTAGAATACATATATGTAGTTTTCCTCTTATTTCTTATTTATTATGCTATAGCTTAATATTAAATATTGCTTCAAATATGGAAGAGCAGTAAAAATAACTTTATTCTTACTTGAGTCTATTTTTATTGCTCCGTAAATATATTTATTAATGGTATTTTTTATTTCAGCAATTATAGAATTCACTTTTTGTCATGAACCCTGTATCAGAAACATAACAGAAAAAAAATAGGACTAAGAATCAGAAAAGAAGGGAAATATGATGTTTTATGAGATTCTGGAAAACTGCTACATTGAACTGAACATTCAGGCACTCATCATGTAATGATGCAATAACATGTCCTTTCATGGGAACAAAGGGTAGTAAAAATAATATCAATTATTTTTAAGCAATTGATATTTATATTTAAGCAATATTTATATTGATGTCTTATATTTAAGCAATAAGACAATTATTCTTAAGCAAGGTCACCCAACATAACTCTTCCTTTCCCTATAATCTGCCTGCAAATATATGCTAAATGATAACAAATAATAAGTAAAAACCTTCTATGAAACTCCTTTTTTTAAGGAATCACACTTGTTTACTCTTTTGATAAGCATGTTTCTCTAATTTATTTAGGGAGACATTATGTCCTTTGTCTGCAAAAACAATTAAAAAGAAACATATAATGTTATTTTACCAGGGGTCAAGTTCTAATTGGATTTTACCACGATAAAAAATATAATTCATGGCCAGGCATCGTGGTTCAGGCCTGTAATCCCAGCACTTTGGAGGCTGAGGCAGGCGGATCATGAGGTCAGGAGATCGAGACCATCCTGGCCAACATGGTGAAACCCCATCTCTACTAAAAGTACAAAAATTAGCTGGGCATGGTGGCACGTGCCTGTAATCCCAGCTACTCAGGAGGCTGAGGCAGGAGAATCACTTGAACCCGGGAGGCAGAGCTTGCAGTGAACCAAAACGCACCACTGCACTCCAGCCTGGGGACAGAGTGAGACTGTGTCTCAAAATAATAATAATAAAAATATATAAAATTCATTTTCACCGAGGCCCTAAAATTGTATACCAGGGAAAAATCAAAAGACTGGGAATGTTCTTTTGTTGCCAAGAAGGAACTCTGGATTAAAAATTCCCCCAAGTAGCTTAGTTATAGTCAGGAAATCCCTTTCTTCTAATCCTATCCTTAACCACCATGCTAGAAACATAAGCTTCAGGGCCCAGAACCACTTGCATCACCGAATATTTAAACATTTCAGCCAAAAGTTTTAAAAAGTGTGTATAACAACTAAATATTGCTTGAACTTAACATTTCATAGGAAATCAGCCTATGTGACCACTTTACAAGTTCTATTTCTTGATTTATCCTAAAATTTGTATTTTATTATTATTTTGCAAAATAAAATATGGAATCTTCCCTTTCCTTTGTAGCTAGGAGGAGATGACATGGAGGTTGAGGACATGGGGTGGTGAGAGAGGTTGAGGAACCCCACGGAGGCAAGGGCCCAGAGGAGGAAGCTGTGTAGAGATGGAGAGCTGTCATAACTCAATGATACAACCCATACTACAGCACTCAGCAATGCAGTCTTTGACCAAATGTAATCCCTCCATAAAATGTGAGATTTTATTGGGGTTTTTGGAGGAGGCATCCAGAGAACAGCACCCTTCTTTTCCACCTGGATTCTTAAAAAGTAGTTGGGAAATAAATCAAAAGTAGCAAATGGGGGAAAAATATTTCTTTTTGTTTGTTTGTTTTCTACTAATAGAGGCCAGACTGAGCATGTGGTTTTAGGTTTGGTAGCCAAATAAATTCGGTAATTCTGAAGCCCAGGATGGATTTGATTTCTTGGCCCAGTGAAAGAAGGAAGGGACCATGGCAAACAAAGACCCAGAGGAGGGGTAGAAGTCATGGTGCTCAGGAGCAGCTCGCTTCCCAGATCAAGAAGAAATGATGCTTGCCATGCATATTCTAGTTTATTCTCCCCAGATTTACCAATCACATCTCTACCTCTCACGGGACTATGTAAAGTGTGGAGAGAGGCTAGGCCTATGCTGAAGAATAATCCTTCCTCATGTCCACTCCAAGTGGGGAAACATTATTCCCCTCTAAAATTGATTTACATAGGGAGGGAGGAACCAGGTCATAATGAACTTTCTATAATATAGCAGGATTTAGATTGTAAAGGAAAGGCAATGGGTACTTATTAAATAACTTTTTTAAGAATAGAGGCAAGAGAAACAGATTTGACTTTCAGAAAAATTATTCTGGAATGGTACACTGTAGAGGATCAATGGGAATGGGGCTTGGGGAAAAGAACAAGAGGGTCATTTAGGAGACTCCCCCCATCTTAGCTAGGATTATGAGAATCTCAGTTAAGATAATTGCTAAAGGATTAAGAAAAGTATTCTGATTTGGGCATGTACAGTGTAACTATAGGATCATGGCAATCATCAAAAATCAACTCACACAATTCACTGATTTTTTGTAACCTGTACACTGAGTCTTTTGCTATAAATATAGATTGATATTAAAGTGTGACTATTACTAGGCTAGCTTCAGTTTCCTGAATAGAAATAGATAAAGATAAAATATTATTCAGTGTGCCTCAGAGTACTGTATAAATGAGTAACAAAAAGGGACATAATAAAACACACTGATGTTGGAAATATTTTAATCCTTGAGTTGACAGTTATAGAGGGTTGACACTTGAGTTGCCTGTGTTGTCACGTCTTCCATCTGATGTGATTCTTAGGGTGGCCTTTTTGTGTATAGACCCCATAGTTTAATTAATGCTTGTGGTCATGACACCTGTCAGCAGACATTGATGAGACTCTCATAATGGATACACTAAATACATGCAAATTATTTCTTATTTGCAGAGAAAACATTTCAAAACTCATTTCTATCATTAAAACAGGTAGTCAGAGATTAAGACAGGATACCCCAGTCTGTTACTATTTATTTCTTTTTTTTATTATTATACTTTAAGTTTTAGGGTACATGTGCACAAAATACATAATTATAATTTTCATAAAAACAATCTATGTAAAAACTAAAAAATACAGAAAAGTATGAAAACATAGAGAAGAAAGTATAAAGAATAAAAAACAACATGATTCCATTTCACAACCAAGGAATAACCAACATTTGATAACATTTCAAACATCTTTCTATCCTTGTGTACAGATAGGTTTTAAAGTTATTTTTTGAAAAATAAAGGCATTAGAATATACACTCAATTTATAAGCATTAAATTTAATTTTAATCCCATTTAACAGAAGTAAAATTCTCTGAAATTTAAAGTAATTGCTGAATTACCTGAAGCAAAAGACTTTGGATAAATGTTTCTCTAAAACAAGAGGAAGTGCTTACATTTTAATATATCTCCCTGAAGCTAAATAAATGCATGAAGCTTATAGCACTCTTTATTTCTTTGTTTGTTTACATTTAAATATGTGCTTCCACATTAGACCGTGCTATAAATGTGAATAAATTAATTGGCAGGTTCACAATTTTGTCTACTTCCTTGCTTGGGATTATATGTATCCTGCCTTTTCTGCCAATCCCTTATAACTTTTTAAATCCTTGTAGTTTTGCAACTTTTCTAAATATATCTTGGAATTGTTCATTTTTTGTCAAATTTTTATATCAAATATTCCAGAGATATATTCTAACTTTGATAATTGTCTACATTTTTTTTTGGTGGTACATGGCGATCATCAATTTCAATCTTTCAGTTCCATTTTTGTTTCCTTATCTTTTCTTCTATATTTTTGAATTTTTTCCCCTGTTCCATTTGTTTTGCTGTCTGCACTATGAACATCAATTATATATCAGATCGCTTTATCTCTTTTGCATACCTATCATTTTCTCAGTAATTATTTTATTTTGTGTGACATTTTTATGCCTAGATTATTTTTTGTCCATGGTTTCTTCTATTTCTTTCTGAGCTCTTTCAGCTTGATATTTCATTTTAAAAGAGATATTGTGCTGTTTGAATTATTATTTATAATTACAGTGAATGATTTGTCTAAACTCTTCATTTCTGTATGAGTTTTTCTTCTCTCTCTCTCATAGTCATTTTTGAAGTTTTATGCTTAAGCCCTAGTATGATTCCTTTCTGTTTATTTCTCATTTTTGATGAGACCAGTTATCTGCTGGAAAATAATGAAAAGAGGTATGGAAGAAGGGGGTACTGAAGAGACTCGTGCATTTAGACATGAGACTTTTGTGTTGTTCTTTTGACTGAAAAGAAAAATTTGGGAGCAGATTGCTACTGCAGGCTCCAGGAGGCAGCTGAAAAACTGTGAGTGCCTAAAGTGTGAAAGGGGGATCATCTACTCCTGAACACACACCCTCACTGGGGAACCTGAAGATTGAGATCACAGGAGATGGATTTGATCTTACGTGGACCTGAGATGAATTTAGAGAGCTGGGCAAAATATAGAGGTAGAGGAAGCAGCGAGAAGGACCTTGTGGGCACTCTAGACCTCCAGGGAAGCCATTTCTTACTTTATCTCACAGGAGTCCTTGGGGAGGGCTGCCACTGGAATTGGGGAAAGACTAAATGCAAAGTTTCCTGGACAGAACCTGGGGGAGAAGGTGAGCTGGGAGTGTAGACATGAGCATAAAAGCCATGGCAGGCAGGGAGTTGCAAAATCTGAAAGTACTGCTTGTCTTCTCAGTGGGGAGGCTTGTAGCCTGGGGCAAGTTCTCAGCCCTGCTCACCTCTGCCTGGAAATAAACTTGGTGCTGTTGGGGGGACACGCTGTGGTAAGACCAGCCTTTTGGGCTGCACGGGAGCTGGGTGAGGCCTGTAACTGCCAGCTTTCTCTCCACAAATTCTTAGTGGTTCTTGTTACATTGTACCACCTTTCCAGCAGCCCACTCTCACCCTTCCATTCCAGAAAGAAAAGGAAAATGTAGGATGGAGTATCTACTAATAGTTTGATAAAAAGGAAAAGTGGGATTTAGTGAGTATCTAGTCTGGGGTGGCAGATGTTCTGGGACATTTGGAAGCCGCATGCAAAGATATTTTTCAGAGACATTCAGGCACTGAATCCATTTTCTATGCCAGCTAGCATTGCTAATTCTGAGTTAGGTTCATGATGCAGGGGAATCTGATATACTTAAACAATTCCTTAAACAGAAGCACATAGATTATTCATGTTAATAATGAGATGTAAGCTTAAGTAGAAAAGAGCAGGCAAGTAGCAAGAATTCACCATCTCTCCCAATCTTAGCAAGATCCTAACTGTACAGGAATGAAACAAGTATATAGAATCCAGAGCAAGAGAAAAACTTTATTAAAAATATTCTACCTGTTTCTGCTCTAGAAAGAGAGAGAGAGAAAAAAGTGTGTATGTGTGGTGGGAGTGTGTGCACGTGTGTTGGTCTCTCCTTGTCAGTTCGTAACCCAACCTGCTACACTGCACATAACACCTATTTAGCTATAAACTGACTGATGTTTTTGTGGGCAATTCTCCATGTTTTGTGCCCATCCTGCAAAACTCATAGGAAATACAATTTTACCATTTATGGATGGGTATTCAAAATGCAGATAGATTCTTATTTCCAGAAGAAAACGTGATTATATTATCCAATTAATTGTGATATGAATTCAATCAATTCATTAATTCCACAGGTGCAGAATTCCTCACCTCCACTTTATCCTGAGGGCTAGGATGAAGTAAAGCAAACACTGGAATAGCTGAACTCAGATTTCTCTGACCCGACAGGGTTATGACAAGAGCCACATGACTAAATTACCCTGTGTCTAAATCCCCTATACACTGTGCAATTTAAACAGAAAATAGCCAACAGATCATAATAACCATATTCACAGATGATAAGAAAATATAATGTCTGCAACACAAAGTCTCTAGCACATGTAGTCATTTTAACTATTATGAGAAATAGCATATTGTATTTTGGGTTTAAAATAGAGCTTGTGAAAAGGCTACATATTACATTTATTTAAATCTGTGGCAGTAGAGTTAAATACTGTTGGTTTTGTGGTTACTTTTATAAGCATTTGTATAAAATGACCCTTTCTGAATTTTTAACATAACAGGAATTGAAAGGGTGTGATACAAAGTAATAATGGAAAGGGAAAACTTTGTATGGAACAAAATCTGCTGTAAGGGGAAAAGGGGAACTTGCTAAATCAAAAGAGATGAAAAGCAATGATGAACAGAAAGGAAATGAGTTAGATTATGTTGTTAAGCTATGCACCAGATACTGAACTCAGTGCCTTCTAAGTTATTTCATTTAACCCTACAAAATGCTGTGATTTGGGTATTATTATCCACATTTGCACAGATGAGGAAATGGATTCAAAGAGCTGAGGTCACTTGTCCAAGTTCACACAGTAAGTGGCAGACAAGTTTTGAACCCATATTTTTACATGCCTTTTACAAAGCATACTTGACTTAGTCTAGCATATTGGGAATTTGAGGGCCATTCCTGCTATAAGTGAATTTCCTCCTTCATCCTCTCCATTGCTTCAAATTGTTTCATGGTGCATCTCAAGAACCACACCCTTGATGAACATTTATTTGATGTTCCCAGGCTCCAGTTCCCTCTTCCTTTTATGAATTCCTGCAGCAATCATTTACTCCATCAGTTACACATCCTACATCATATGGTACCTAATTGACTAGTCAACATTTATACATGATTTATCTTCTTGATAAAATTATGCACCTGAGAGCAGAAACCATATCTTAAAAATCTTTGGGTTCCTCATTGTATAGGAGGGCAAAATCAATTTCTTCTTACCTACCAAGTTGATTGCTGCCCAGGTTGCTATTTTGACAAACTAGTAAAGCCTGTTTCTTGTCTGAGTGAGAAACAACCCTTTGAGTGGTTAGCCATGGTACTGTGAGTGCCAGCATGGGATGAGAATAACATAGGACAGAGGAGCAGCAGAAAATAAGAGCACTCTCACATGCATTGATGGAGTTATGCGTGTACGTATTGCCATAGTATTTCAAACGGTACTTTGTATATTTTAGGTTTATATCTTTAATGAAACTAATGCAGATAAAGATAAATAATTTGTCTAAAGTTTGCAATAAAATCATAAGCCATTAATTGATTTCTTTTGATTCAGGTTAAACATGCAGAGGAAATTAAGCTTTTTCATTTGTCCCAACAAACTCCTGTCCTCAAATAATCTCTGTGTTTTCCACTCTAGTGAGTAATGGGAAAAATTAATTAACTGTCTAGTCCAGATTAAAGCTTAGTCCAATCTATGTAGGGTTCATTTTCTCTTGATAAAAATGTTCAGTGTCTCTAATATTTTCCTGTTCCCTCTAACTTCTTTAAGGAGTCTGCATGAATAGAGAAGTGTAGAGTGTATGGCACAAATTTCCTTGTGGGCCTGGCTATCCTCATGCCATTGGTGGAAATAACTTCATGCTAATCCTCAGATATGTGCAACCTGTTGTCCACTATTCTACAAGACAATGGCTTTTGTGGACCTGCTCTCTGTGAGCTCTGCTGACCTCCTTTGCTGCAGTTTAGAGCCAGTAATTCATGATTCAGGTTTGATTCTAGAGGCAATTATAGGGAGTATCAGCCCATGGGAGTATCAGCCCATAGGGAGTATCAGCCATCTCATCGCTACCAGTTCAGCCTGCTTTCAGCTCTTGCTGGCTGCAGACTCCTGAGTCTGAGTCCTCTTCCACCTGGCCCCTCATTGACATGTCTACTTCCGCATGTGCTGTTGGGATCCCCTTGCCCTTTGCAATGTCTCCTGACTTTTAGCTCAGAAAATGTAAATTTCAAGGTATTCATCTGAGAAATAGTCCACCACCAACATTAATGTGGGTAGTCTTCTCCCAAAGACCCAAACAAATACTACATGCAGAGCCCTATCCTTAGTGACCCCCCTAAATTCATGCCCCCCAAGTTTAACCCTGACCAAAGCCCCAAAAAGAAATGGGGACACAGGTATCTAAGTGTTCTGGTATTTTTTTTTCTCTCTCTACTCCTCTTCATGCAAATCCCAGGGCCAGCCTTTTGGGGGAGAGGGCCTGTCTTAGAAGGGGTCTCTTCTTTACACTGTTGGGGAAAACTATATAGAGAGTCCTTAAAAACTAGCTTTACTATTATGCTAAAGAAGGGAATAAGGGAATTTCAGCAGCCATCTTTCAGGGCTATGGTAAGATCTGTAAGACTAATGTATGACACAATTTTCTTTTCATGTCAGAAGCTGAATATTACTGTGTCTTTCTCCTTGTATTCTACACTATGAGCTCCTAATATAGTCCCAGGTAATGTTTACCTTTTGGGAACTAGTGCAGATGTCTTATACTCAAAAAGGCAAAATGGAAAAGCACAATAATAATTTTCAAACTGTATACCTATTATACATCAATGCCAGGAATATATAAAATTATTTGTGGTTGGTATACTCTGTTGATTAGAGGCCAAAGTCAATAGTCTGACACCCTAAAGGGCCAGTTTGTTTCAGTAATTTATGTTTACAGGCTAAACTCTAACTTCAAGCAATTGTTCTATAATTGCTTATTATAGTTATAAAAGGAAATAGACAAAATTGTGTGGGTGAGTAACACAAATTTTCATCGTGATTCAAAATCATGATTCTGAAATACATGCACTCATGGTGTTCATCATCAGTGTTATCTTTATAATATTTGATGGAACCAAATTAAATGTTGAAATTCTGAGCCAATAAAATAAAATAGCAATATTCATTTTTTATGGCATACTGGCCTTAGTTATCCTCTCCATTGCTAACTTAAGCCTACTGCTAAAATTACATAAAATTTTGCTGCATATATTCAAATAAATTAGGAGTTTTTTTCTGGTTTTAATTCATGTACTATTTTTGAGGATGGAAAAAACAGTGATTAAATAAGCCTAACTAGATTTTTTTTAATGAGGCAAAAGCACTTTCACCATTTTGTAAATAATATTTATAAATTTTTATTATATTATTTATTATATCATAATATATTATAAATATAAATATTATAAATAATATTTTTATATTATTTATAATTATAATAATATTTATAAATAATATTAATAAAATTCACCATTTTGTAAATATTATTTGTAAATAATATTTGGATTGTTAGAAAAACAAATAGCTCTTAAGGGATCCTAGTCATGTTCCTAAGTCTTGTCACTTGACCAACGTGGTTTCGGATTCAGTGACTATCCAGTTGATGAATGGATGTTTATTTATGGCTTCTTTCAAATAAGATGGCACATATTGCCCCTCAATTAGAAAAAACACCCAGTGCTTTATTCATTCATGCAGTGTTTTATTCACTCTATCCAAAGAGTGCAGGATCAGACACTGTGCCTAACTCAATTGGTTTTAAACAACAACAAAATGTAGGGCACTGAAATTCTACCTCTGATTATAATAAAGAACTTACCCTCTCACAGTAAAAACAAAAGAAACAGAAAAAGGAACAAAATATATTTTAAAACTATGATCAGATATTAGACAACAGGTGACATAGGATGCTGATCCCTAAAGAAAGGGAAACAAATAAGGTGGTTCCTACAATCTTCCCAACTTTCTACTGAAGGATCTATCCAGGCCATGGTGCAGGGAGGGGATCCAAAACACAGCATGAATGTCTTGCTGGGTTAAGAAGACAAAGATCTGAGTGCAGTGAAGCTAGGTGGCTGGGATTTGAAGGGCAAAGTTCTAGAAAAAAAAAAGCATTCAAGAGAAAAAGCTATAGAAATACACATAGGGGCCTTATTCACTCTTTCGCTTAATGCAAATTCACAATACAAAGGGTAGAACTCCACAAGCCTGGGCAAATAAACTGGGAGCTGAAATCTGAACAAGAGTTCACATGGGGCTAGGAGACATTTGAGTTTTGAGTAGCCAAAAAGCAGAGTCCTCATTGAACACCCGAGCATTCAGCTGAAACTCCAGAAGGGATGTGCCATAAGAGTAGATCTTAACTAGGCATACATTAAAGGCTACTCCTGCTTAACTAGGCATACGTTAAAGCCAGAATTAATACAGTAATAAAATCTTCACTATTTGGATAATGGGTACACTAGAAGTCCAATCCCCACCAGTATGCAATATACCCAAGTAGCATGTACGTGTACCCCCGCATCCAAAATAAAATAAAAAGAATACAATAACAAAACCAAAACCAGACAATATAAAAATGAAAACTTCAGATTATCTCTTATAAACATAGATAAAAATATCTTTTTAAAATATATGCATATAAAACTGTAATAATAAAAACAATAAAATCATGACTAAGAGGTTAATTCCAGAAACGTAAGGTTGTGTTAGCACTGGTAAATCAATTGTTGTAATTCAGTATATTAGCATGAAAAAAATATACACTGTAAAACAGGCAAACGTGAGTGACCAACAAGCATCTGAAAATATGATCAATATAATTTACTGTCAGAGAAATGCAAATTAAAAGCCCAATAAACTATCACTATATATTAGAATGATAAGCATTAAAAATATTGATAACTGCAAATATCATAAAGACTATAGAACAACTGGAAGCCTCACAAATTGCTGGAAGTATAAAATGGTACAACTACTTTAGAAAACAATTCACAGCTTCTTAAAAAAAATTAAACACCAGCACCAGATGATTTAGCAATTTCACTTCTACGTTTTCACCCAAGAAAAATGAAACCATGTGTGTACAAAGAAGTATACATGCACATACACAGTATCTTTATTTAAAAGAGTAAATTTGAAATAACCCAATTACCCAAAAGTAGGTAAACGGGTAAACAAATTCTGGTATATCCATAAAGTGAAATACTAGCTAACACTAAGTAGGGACAAACTATTGTCATATGACATAGATGAATCTCAAAAACATTATGCTGAGTGAAAAAGCTACACAGGAAAAAGTATGCATTCTATGATTCCATTGAAAGGGGATTCTATAAAAATTTAATCCAATTTGTAGTGATTATTTCTTAGTGGTTGCCAAGAGCCGAAGGTAGGAGTGTGATTGAAAAGAAACATGAAAGGATGCTTTAGGGTGATATAAATGTTTATATCTAAATTGATTTTGGTGGTGGTTACACAAATATATACATTTTAAACTCGCCCAACTATGAACTTAAAATGAGTGCATTTTATTGTGCATGTAATTATGCCTTGAAAAACTTGATTAAAAAAAGGAGGAAAAAAAGGAATTCACGAATTACCTTGCCTTTTGCATTTTTCTAAGTCATATTCTACATCCAAATCATGAGACAGTTACTCAACCTTCAATATGACACCCTGACAGTCTATAGTTAATGGATGTCTACACATGGCACTATTATCCTAAAAAGGTAATTTCTTTAAATCTTTGCTCTATAAACTCTAGCTATTCACGTGACATCTTCCAAAAGGATCACCATCTTCTAGATTGCTTTGGAACTGCTTTAAAATGATGACATAGGGATCATCAAATGGGAGAGGCAGATCAGAAAAGATCTAAGTCTTAGCTATGTGCTCTATTGCACAACAATGGAGAAAAAATTACTTAGGGTACAATCAAGGACAGTGATTTGCCATAAGTAAAATTCAGAAAAATGGAGACAGAATGAAAACATAACAAGTCTAATTCCCTACTCTTGAAATCAACCGAAACATAACTGCATCTTGGCAAAGAAGTCTGTGGGATTCTTCTTGACCATGGATTGCTAGAACTAAATGATACAAGCAGAAGTCTCAGGTTTTTAGTACAACAGTCAGTAAGAAGGAGATGAATCATCGTGTTTCTTGGGTTACTATTTTAAAAGATTTGACAAAGGTAGATAAATAGTACTTTCTCTTTCAAGGGGGGAATAAAACCCGAATGTTTTAAAGTTTAAAAAAGTAGATAATTTTCTTTGAATCTATCTGAGCTTTTTTATTCAACATTAGTCTTTAAGTCAGAAAACTAGCAAAATCATTTTTCTTAGTATTGAGAGGAGGAAAAAAATAAATATTTGAAAATGGGTAAAAATGAACTCAAGTGATCTTTTTAAAAGGCAGTCTATCATTCTTTCTGGCAATTTACATACGAAAAATACTTTACAAACATGGGTACCTTTATGGCTGAGATACATTATAGGGAAAATACCAATTAATTCTCTACATCTAGAGTTTTTTTTTTCCTAAAACTTAAATTCTTATGTGATAAAAAACAAACAAACAAAACTTCTGTGGCATTCCCACTGCCTAAAGACAAGTTCCAAATTCCTTGGTATAGCAAAACATGTCCATTTGTACTCTCACCCCATCCTACCTTACCAGACACAATTTCTATTACACCCCTAGACTCTCCTGCCCTAAAATCTAAACCAATCCTCATTTCACAAATAGCCAGTATTTTTTGTTCCCCCTATTGTTTGGACATGTCCTTCCCTCTGTTCCTGACAAATGTCATTCTGTCAGGCCCAGCCCAATTACATCTCCCCTGTAACACCTGGACTTGGTCATCTGTGCTTTCAGAAGACCTAGTATATAGAGCTCTTTTGCAGTATGTATCTCAACACACTAATTTTTTTTTTTTTTTTTGAGATGGAGTCTCGCTCTGTTGCCCAGGCTGGAGTGCAGTGGTGCGATCTTGGCTTACTGCAACCTCTGCCTCCCAGGTTCAAGCAATTCTCCTGCCTCAGCCTCCTGAGTAGCTGGGATTACAGGTGCATGCCACCATGGCCAGCTAATTTTTGTATTTTTAGTAAAGATGGGGTTTCACCATGTTGGTTAGGCTGGTCTCAAACTCCCCTTGGCCTCCCAAAGTGCTGGGATTACAGGCGTGAGCCACCATGCCCAGCCCACAACACACTATTAATTTTGTATGCCAGCCTCCCTGATTGCACTGGAATATATTTTTTTTCCAGGGCCAGAACTATATTCTATTAATTCTTGTTAGCTTGTTTCTTAGTTATTACATTTCCCATTCCTTGTAGGATCATTGTGAATAGTAGAAACACAATAAATGCCTACTGAATTGAATTTTATTGGTCTTCAGTTTGTATTTGCTTTGTTTTGCGTGTGGTAAAATTCTTTTGGTTTTGTTTCTTTTTCTTTTTTCTTTCTGATATCACTTATTCTTCTTGAGTGCAGTGTTCTAATAAAATATGCTTGATTCCTGGTGGAGTTATTTAGAGCTTCTGAGGAGAAAAAAAATTCTTTGTTTGCAAAGTAGTAATAGAAAGCTTAGATCATTACTGCTGTTGGAAAACTCAAAGTACATGAACTTCTGAGAGACAGTCAATATAATTTAAAGCATATTACATAAAAAATGCTAAGTGCACAAGGTATCCAATAGCTTTTCATTATGCTTCAGACTTGCAGCACCATCTTCCCCCCAGATTCTATCTATATCTTTTTGAAAGATTATATTGATATTTTTATTGTTGATCAAAATAATTATAAATTCCAAAACCCTGAAATGGAAATCACTACTCTAGAAATTCAAGACAGGATTTTATTTCAGAACTTCTTAAATCTACTTTTCACATTGTTATTGGATTGATTAGGATTCATTTTCTGAGATTAGTTCTCTATATATAAATCAAATAACCAAGTCAATTTAGTTACTTGATTTAGCCATATCATCAGTTAAAAAATAATCAAATTAGATATTGTCACTGTAAAATATCATTGTCCCCAAACATACTCACTAGACATTAAATTATTCTTTAAGTTTCAACTACATAAGCTGATGCCTCTAGGCCAAACCGAAAGCATCAGCACAGCACATGGAATCCTTCTGTGTCTGTTTCTTCCGACATGTAATGATGAGACCTGGAGAGGAACTTTATCCCAGAGGACATAACTTGGTGATAAAGAGCAAAGTTGTAATACAAAGTCACACTTGGCAATTTATATACAAAGCTAGAGAAAAAGTCTTTCCAATAGCACATGGAAGCCCAGATCACCACACTCAAGGCTGAGATTCTCATGATTCTCTTTCATTTTAACAAATGCCTATATGGTAGTAACTACAGGAAATACTCCAAGTGATTTACAAGTATTAATTCATCTGCTTCTCATACCAAAACCTGAGAAAGAGAGATTATTAGTTTTATTTTATTGATGGATGCAAGGCTAAGTTAGTTGCCCGAAGATTTGCAGGTAGTAAGTGACTGAACTAGGATTGGAATGAGAGCAGTCTGGCTCCATTGTCTTTGGTCCTAGCCTCTTTTCAACACTGCCTCTCCCATGGTTCCCAGAATTCTGGGAGCAAGTTTAAGATATCTTGAGGACTTTTTCCACACTTCCCATGAGTGAGGAGAATTAGGTACCACTAAGACTGTATATCCAAGATTTGGTGAGGAAGTCCCACCATTGATGCTGCGAGGTTGCTACATCATCATGCAAGTATCTCTATTTAAGTTAGAGTATATATTCAGCCCTACCAATTTCTGGTACATAAGAGTAACTTGTAAGATTACAGTGATAATTACAATCCTATGAAATTGACCCAAATACAATTGATTCTTTAAATTCCATTTCTAAGAATGTAGATGTGTCTTTTCTTAGTAATTTCTTAATCATTTTAAATTCACAGGTGTTTGAGCTATCACTGACCTCTACTTCTGACTTCAAATGACCTTTCTCCTTTTGAATATTAACACATACATTATTTAAAAACAATCTATGTGCCTTACATGTATTATTTAATTTCAAAGAGTAGTTAGGAGATAAAATGTTCCTTAACTGCCACCTGTCCTAAAAATCAGCTTAGGTTGCAGCCTTAAGCAGTTCACACATGTCTGAAATATGTAAATAGGTTTAATACAATAGAAGTGGAGCTGTGAGTGGATGAGAGAAGACTTGAGCTCCATTTGATGGGGCTGGTCTTCACAAATGTAATCAGGAGTTTTTGTCTGAGTCTGGAAACTGAACTGTCCATATCTATAGGGAGATTTGTGAAGACGCATGCCTTGCAACTTGTCTCTAACCTGGGTATTCAGACATTTCTAAAAATAGGTAAACTCAATTTAGGCGACAAATTGCTGTTGCTAGTCTTTAAATTCCAAAAAAGGACTTCAGTGAACCAATAAGTGTCTCAGATCTGGGGTGAGGGATTTAGGGTTTGGTTTCTGGGGGCCATCAGAAAGAGCAGGGCCTTTAGGAGAAAGCATATTCCTGACTCCTGTAACTTCACCTTGACTCAGAAATTGGTGGAAACACATGCATATTAGTCCATTTTCACACTGCTATAAAGAAATACCTGAGGCTGGGTAATTTATCAAGAAAAGAAGTTTAACTGACTCTTAGCTCCACAGGCTGTACAGCACAGGTCCCCAACTGCTGTACTCACTCACTATCATGAGAACAGCACCAAAGGGGAAATCTGCCCTCATGATCCAATTGCCTCCCACCAGGACCCACTGTTAACATTAGGGATTACAATTTGACATGAGATTTGGGTGGGGACACAGATCCAAACCATATCAACATGTAAATACATCTATGTTCTCTCAATTATTAAGAAGGGCCAAAAAGGAAGATTTGACTGAGGCCTAAAAATTATTTCCAAGAATAATTATCTAAAATTATTTGTTGTTATTTGTTGCTATGGCTCAGATATGGTTTATTTGGCCCCACCAAGTCTCAGGTTGAAATTTGATGCCTAGTGTTGGATGGGGCCTAATGGGAGGTTTTCATGGGGGTGGATCCATCATTAGTGGTTTGGTGCCGTCCTCACAGTAAGGAATGAGTTCCCCCTCTATTAGTTCACACAAGAGTTCCTCCAAGACCTGGTTGTTACAGAGAGTGTGGCACTTTCCCTGATCTCTCTTACTTCCACTCTCACCGTGTGATCTTTGCACACATCAGTTTCCCTTCTTGCCTTCCACAATGAGTGGAAGCAGCCTGAGTCCTTCACCAGAAGCAGATGCTGATGCCATACTTCTCGTACAGCCTGCAGAACTGTAAGCCAAATAAACCACTTTTCTTTATAAATTACCCAGACTTAGGTATTCCTTTACAGAAACATAAAAATGAACAAAGACAATTGTCTAATAGCATGAAGTACTAAAAATGCATATAAATACAAATATACATGACAAATTTTATTGATGTGTGTGCATGGTATTAGAGTAAGCATTTTGAAAAAAATGTGAATGGAAAACCTTATATACTCTTAGGGAAAATGACAGTTATTCTCAAATAGAGGAAAGGCTAATATTGAGAGAATTAGACCTAACAGTGGAAATTAAAGAGAAACAAATCTCATCACTGTAAAGAACCTTCTAAAAATATTGAACATAATTCCCTTATCTATACTTTTTCTCTGAGAAGTTTTCATCATTTCTACAAGAGTTTTTCTTTTTATGATACCTCTAATTAAGCTTCTTGTTATTTCCTAATGCTTAAACATCCTGGAAACTAACTTGGCAATAAAAAAGATGTTTCAGTTTCTATAGTTAATACAAATGTATTATAAATATGTTAAAACTGTCTCTGGTTAAAACAAACATCTGATTAAAATTTTCTGGTGGTTTGTATAATGGGTGTTCACTGAATTATTTAATTATTCTTTTTTTGAGAAAGTATAAAACAGCATGCATCACAGGTGTTCAATAGGTTTTCATGATAAATAGCGATGCCCTTCATTTCTTGTCTGCTACCATCAATGTAAGATTTTTATAAATAAACAAAAACTATCCTTGCAATTGGTCCCCTAAGAAAAGAATCAAGAACTTCCTATCTGTCAACAGCTAATTTTTCTCACCATTTTAGTATAATTGTGACACAATACACAAAATATACAAAAATGCACTATTCCAGAAAACCAAACAGAAGGGAAAGTATTACCAAATTAGAGAAAACTTTTTAAAATAGCAAACAACATTCTTGATCTTCTCTCCTGCCCACTTAGGGTACAGAAATCTCTTCTACGACATAGGAAAATGAGAAAACATCAGTGTGAAACACTGATTCATGTTTTTCTTTTGTTTCTTAAGATGAAGTCTCGCTCTGTCACCCAGGCTGGAATGCAGTGGTGCAATCATGGCTCACTGCAGTCTCAACCTCCCAGGTCCCAGTGATCCTTCTGCCTCAGCCTCCCAAGTACCTGGGACTACATGCATACACCACCAGGATCACACCAGGCAATTTTTTTTAAGAGGCGAGATCTTGCTGTGTTGCCTGGCATGGTGTCCAACTCTTGGGCTTAAGTGATCTCCCATCTGGGCCTTCCAAAGTGTTGAGATTACAGGCGTAAACTTTTTTTTTCTTTAGGTGGAATTGTGTGGTTCTCTCCAAGTTAATATGTAAAAAGGACCATGAAGAAGACACACTGACAGTTCATGCATCTCAGTATGCACTCCCAGGCCCTTGAGTCTTGATCCAATCAATCTCAGTGGGCCACATTCCCCTCTGTGACCTGCAAGAGTTAGAACAGCCTTCAAGCATACCTGTCCTCACCTCACTTCTGTCCAGGCAAGATGCACCAGTAAGCGTCAAAACTTTTGTTTGCCATCAGACTTCCTATAGACTCTGAAAAGAATACCCCATTTGAAAGAGCAATATGTCAGGCTGCTATGCCATGGCACAATTACTTACAGGTACTGAACTAGAAAACTTGATTATTTCAGTTGCATACTATTCACTGTTGCTCTTACCATGTTAGCCATGGGTAAGTAGTTAGGTGAAGCATATGTAACAGCATTTAGGCCAATATTCCCTACATTTATTGAACATAAGCCATTTTTGCCTCTCAGCACATGCTTTAACACCTCATACAACTACTGTTCCATGAACAACATTTTGACAAACAGTTTGACTGGTTTAGTCATTAAAGAAACACACACATACATCCACATATGTGCACACTCACATGCACACACACATACACACACACCCCTTTCTAAATAGTATAAATAAACTGCCTGATATATGGGAGTCTAATGACATTTTAGGGACACACAATCCTTCAAATAACAAATGCTAAATCATAAGGACAAGTGAGAACGTTAAATAAATATATGTCAACTCTGAATAATAAATATTTGCCAGAATGGCTTAAAATATTTATACTCCTTGAAACAGTAAGTCAGAGATCTTTCTTAAGGAAAAAATATAAAATTCCAGCAAATATTTATGCCCCCCAACTTTTTATTGCAGTGTTTTTTATAATGGCACAAAAGTGAGGCGACATAAATATCCAACAATAAAGAAATCAAATAAATTATGATATATCCATTATCTGAATACAGATTATTACTCAATGATTAAAAATTATGTTTTCTATGAATATACAATATGTAAAGATGTTTATGATATAATGTTTAGCAAAGAAAAGCCAGCAGAATCAAGAATTGCACAGGCAGAATAATCTCTTATGCACATAGAAAAATGCTAAAAAGGCCGGGCGTGATGGCTCATGCCTGTACAATCCCAGCACTTTGGTAGGCCAAGGCGGGCAGATCACCTGAAGTCAGGAGTTCAAGACCAGCCTGGCCAACATAATGAAACCCCATCTCTACTAAAAATACAAAAATTAGCTGGGCATAGTGGCGGGTGCCTGTAATCCCAGCTACTCAGGAGGATGAGGCAGGAGAATCACTCAAATCTGGGAGGCGGAGGTTGCAGTCAGCCAAGACTGCGCCATTGCACTCCAGCCTGGGTGACAAGAGCGAGACTCCAACTCAAAAAAAAAAAAAAAAAAAAAAGGATAAGAGAAAAGCTGAAAAGAAACATACCAAAATGTTAAAGTGTTTCTAAGAGTGAGATAATGGATGAATGTTTTTTCTTCCTTATATATTCTGGAATTTACAACATTTTCCCTAACCCTAACCCTATATTGCTGGCAAGCGTATTGACACATATTGCTTTTATTAGGAGGAAACAAATACAAATTTCTCTTCCTTACAAAGCTGTCAGTAACAGTTTCCTGGATAATTCACTCTAGGCTTTTTATCCCATAACATATTGCTTTTCTAATGATATTTTCCCAAAATTTAGTTGGTAATTGTGGAAATGAAACAAAAGGAAGTTAAACAGAGGAATGTGACTTCCCAAAGCACCTTTCTTTTCAAAGGCATATTTTTTTCTTTTTTTTAATTATTATTATACTTTAAGTTTTAGGGTACATGTGCACAATGTGCAGGTTTGTTACATATGTATACATGTGCCATGTTGGTGTGCTGCACCCATTAACTCGTCATTTAGCATTAGGTATATCTCCTAATTCTATCCCTCCCCCCTCCCCCCACCCCACAACTGTCCCCGGTGTGTGATGTTCCCCTTCCTGTGTCCATGTGTTCTCATTGTTCAACTCCCATCTATGAGTGAGAACATGCGGTGTTTGATTTTTTGTCCTTGCGATAGTTTGCTAAGAATGATGGTTTCCGGCTTCATCCATGTCCCTATGAAGGACATGAACTCATCTTTTTTTGGCTGCATAGTATTCCATGGTGTATATGTGCCACATTTTCTTAATCCAGTCTATCATTGTTGGACATTTGGGTTAGTTCCAAGTCTTTGCTGTTGTGAATAGTGCCGCAATAAACGTATATGTGCATGTGTCTTTATAGCAGCATGATTTATAATCCTTTGGGTATGTACCCAGTAATGGGATGGCCGGGTCAAATGGTATTTCTAGTTCTAGATCCCTGAGGAATCACCACACCGACTTCCACAATGGTTGAACTAGTTTACAGTCCCACCAATAGTGTAAAAGTGTTCCTATTTCTCCACTTCCTCTCCAGCACCTGTTGTTTCTTGACTTTTTAATGATCGCCATTCTAACTGGTGTGAGATGGTATTTCATTGTGGTTTTGATTTACATTTCTCTGATGGCCTGTGATGATGAGCATTTTTTCATGTGTTTTTTGGCTGCATAAATGTCTTCTTTTGAGAAGTGTCTGTTCGTATCCTTTGCCCACTTTTTGATGGGGTGGTTTGTTTTTTTCTTGTAAATTTGTTTGAGTTCATTGTAGATTCTGGATATTAGCTCTTTGTCAGATGAGTAGGTTGCAAAAATTTTCTGATTGTCATGACAACTCTAGGGCACTGGACCATTCAGGAGGAGGAACTTTCACTCCAGAACAGTGAAAGGCAAACAGGTCTTTGCCTCTTAGGATCTCTGGCTTCCTCTCACCCCCTTCAATATGTCAATTAAGTTCAGATAAACTTGATAAAACTGAAGCTAAGGCAGGCCATTATTAGTTTGTCTTGCCAGCCTGGGAAAGTTAGCCTCTCTGAGAATTAAGAGCAATGTGTTGGTAGGCACTGAAGGTATCAGATGTGTGACTTCATTAACTACAAGTTACACATAGCTAGAAATCAAACTCTGGAAAGCAGGAGGACTCATTCAAAGTTAAATCACTTTTCACTCTGACTCTACGCAACTATTTGGATAAATATGCATTTATACATATTAGAGCAATTGGGAAATATTTTGAGGCATCCCGCAGCTTCCGTTATTTCTTCCATCCAACCTTGCCGTGAACTGTAATACTATTGTGTGATCGTGTGCATATGTTGAAATTAAGAGTTAAGAGCAACTCATGCTGGTTTACCAATTCCAAAAAAAAAGTTCATTTAAAAAACTATTTTAGGGTCTACTATGTAGACAACACTGCATATAAGCAAGGAGACAGTAAAAAGACATATGAACCATGGTTCACATTCACATGGTGGGATAGATAACCAAAGTTTTTATTATTATTATTATTATTTATGCAATAGGTTTTTGGAGAACTAGTGGTGTTTGGTTACATGAATAAGTTCTTTAGTGATGATTTCTGAGAGTTTGGTGCTCCCATCACTCAAGCAGGGTACACTGTACCAGATGTGTAGTCTTTTAATTCTCACTGCGCCCCCCCACCCCCCACCACCATTTCTCCCCAGGCCCCAAAGTCCTTTGTGTCATTCTTGTGCCTTTGTGTCCGCATAGTTTAGCTCCCACTTATGAGTGAGAACATACAATGTTTGGTTTTCTATTCCTGAGTTACTTCAGTTAGAATAATGATTTTCAAATTTATCCAGCATGCTGTGAATGCCATTATTTCCTTCCTTTTTATGGCTGAGTAGTATTCCATGATATACATATACCACAATATCTTTATCCATTCATGGATTGATGGGCATTGGGGCTGGTTCCATATTTTTGCAATTGCAACTTGTGCTGCTATAAACATGCATGTGAAGGTATCTTTTTTGTATAATTACTTCTTTTCCTTTGGGTAGATACCTAGCAGTGGAATTGCTGGATCAAATTGTAGATCATTTTTAGTTCTTTAAGGAATCTCCACACTGTTTTCCATAGTGGTTTTACTAGTTTACATTCCTACCAGCAGTGTCAAAGTGTTCCCTTTTCACCGCATCCATGCCAACATCTATTATTTTTTGATTCTTTGATTATGGCCATTCTTGGAGGAGGAAGGTGGTATCACATTGTGGTTTTCATTTGCATTTCCCTGATCATTAGTGATGTTGAGCATTTTTTCATGTTTGCTGGCCATTTGTATGTCTTCTTTTGAGAAATGTCTATTCATGTCCTTAGTTCACTTTTTTATGGCATGATTTGTTTTTTTTTTTTTTTTCTTGCTGATTTGTTTGAGTTCCTTGTAGATTCTGGATGTTAGTCCTTTGTCAGATGTACAGATTGCAAAGATTTTCTCCCACTCTGTGGGTTGTCTGTTTACTCTGCTGATTATTTCTTTTGCTGTGCAGAACTTTTTTCATTTAATTAAGTCCTATCTATTTATCTTTGTTTCTGTTGTATTTGCTTGTGAGTTCTTGGTCATGAAGTCTTTGCCTAAGCCAATCTCTAGAAGGTTTTTTCCAATGTTATCTTCTGAATTTTTATGGTTTCAGGCCTTGAATTTAAGTCCTTGATCCATCTTGAGTTGATTTTTGTATAAGGTGAGAGATGAGGATCCAGTTACCTTCTCCTACATGTGGCTTGCCAATGATCCCAGCACTATTTGTTGAATAGGGTCTCCTTTCCCCACTTTATGTTTTGGTTTGCTTTGTTGAAGATCAGTTGGCTGTAAGTATTTGGCTTTATTTCTGGGTGCTCTATTCTCTTCCATTGGTCTATGTGCCAATTTTTATGCCAATACCATGCTGTTTTGGTGACTGTGGCATTGTAGTATAACTTGAAGTTGGGTAATGTGATGCCTTCAGATTAATTCTTTTTGCTTAGTATTGCTTTGGCTATGTGGGCTGTTTTTTGGTTCCATATGAACTTTAGGATTTTTTTTTCTCATTCTGTGAAGAATGATGGTGGTATTTTTATGGGAATTTCAGTGAATTTGTAGATTGCTTTTGGCAGTATGGTCATTTTCACAATACAGATCCTACTTATCCATGAGCATGGGATTTGTTTCCATTTGTTTGTGTCATCTATGATTTCTTTCAGCAGTGTTTTGTAGTTTTCCTTGTAGAGGTCTTTCACCTCCTTGGTTAGGTATATTTCTAAGTATTTTATTTTATTTTTGAAGCTATTGTAAAAGGGGTTGAGTTCTTGATTTGATTCTCAAGTTGGTCGCTGTTAATGTATAGCAGAGCAACTAATTTGTGTACATTAATTTTGTATCCTGAAACTTTGCTGAATTCATGTACCAATTCTAGGAACTTTTTGATGAGTTTTAAGGGTTTTCTAGGTATACAATCATATCATCAGCAAACAGTGACAGTTTGACTTCCTTTATGTCAATTTGGATGCCATTTTTTCTCTTGTCTGATTGCTCTGGGTAGGACTTCCAGTTCTATGCTGAATAGATGTGGTGAGAGTGGGCATCCTTGTCTTGTCCCATTTCTCAGTGGGAATGCTTTCAACTTTCACCATTCAGTATAATGTTGGCTGTGGGTTTGTCATAAATGATTCTAATTACCTTCAGATATGTCCCTTCTATGCCAATTTTGCTGAGGGTTTTAGTCATAAAGTGTTGCTGGATTTTGTCAAATGCTTTTTCTGCATCTATTGAGATGATCATATGATTTTTGTTTTTAATTCTTTTTTATGTGGTGTGTCATATTTATTGACTTGTCTATGTGTTAAACCATCCCTACAACTCTGGTATGAAACCCACTTGATCATGGTGGATTATCTTTTTGATATGTTGTTGGATTTGGTTAACTAGTATTTTGTTAAGAAATTTTGAATCTATGCTCATCAGGGATATTTGTCTGTAGTTTTCTTTTTTCATTATATCCTTTCCTGGTTTTAATATTTGGTTGATATGGGCTTCATAGAATGATTTAGGGAGGGTTCTCTCTTTCTCTATCTTGTGGAATAGTGTCAATAGGATAGATACCAATTCTTCTTTGAATGTCTGGTAGAATTCAGCTGTGAATCCATCTGGTCCTGGCTGAGCTTTTTTTGTTGTTGTTGTTTGTTTATTTGTTTTTGCCTGGCAATGTTTTCTTTTTTTTCTTTTTTCTTTTTTTTTTTTTTGTGCAGTTGCAAGATTTAGTAGAGTGAAAACAGAGCTCTCATTAAACGGGAGGGGACCCAAAGGGGGGTTGCCGTTGCTGACTTGAATGCCTGGGTTTATATCCCGATTATTGTCCCTCCCCCTGTGCTCTCAGTCGATAGATGATTGGCTATTTCTTTACCTCCTGTTTTTGCCTAATTAGTATTTTAGTGAGCTCTCTTTACTACTTGATTGGTCAGATGTGAGCTAAGTTGCAAGCCCCGTGTTTAAAGGTGGATGCGGTCACCTTCCCAGCTAGGCTTAGGGATTCTTAGTTGGCCTAGGAAACCCAGCTAGTCCTGTCTCTCAGTCCCCCTCCTCAACAGGAAAACCCAAGTGCTGTTGGAGAGGTTGGCTGACAACTGCTCTAACTGCTTCCTGCTGAATTGGGGTGTAGTAGGGGTTGTGCAGTTGAGATTTCCTTGAGAGGGGTGCCTTCGATGTCATCAACATTGAAGCATAGGCTAGCAGGCTGGTCCAGGGGTCCGTGGTAGATCTTAGTCATGGACTGCATCTGGGGCTCCATTTGAAGAATGATTTGTACTTTTACAGCTTTGATTCTGGAAGAGACAAACTTAACAAGGAGGTTAAAGATACAGGGATTGAAATGTATGGCCTATAGTGCAGGGGATTATTTCTTTGGCACACTTCACAGACCCTAACTATCTGCTTGATAGTTTTGAAAAGGCTTGGTCCAGTAAATAATAATTTGGCCATCTGATGGGTGCTATCAATGCCTAACTGAAAGGTTTGGTGAAGGGTTTTAAGTAATTTCCATTGGTTAGCTGCAGGCAAAAGTATTTTTTCTTCTTCGGTGGCTAGCCATCCTGAGGGAAGGAAACTGTCCTCATGAGGTTCCTTATTCAATTTCTCCTGCTGAGTACTGGGGCTTGGTTTCCCAGAGGGGATTACCCCATACTAGGGGTCCTTCTATAAGCATTTCTAATGGACGGTCCTGCCTTGCCGTTCTTCTGGCTTCAATATCCACTTGGCAGTTCTCTTCTATTTCCCTTTACTTTCCTTTCTGATGACCCTGGCAGTGTAAGACTGCCACCTCTTTAGGTTTCTGTACAGCCAATAATAATCTCCTAATGGCTTCCTGATGTTTGATAGGTGTTCCCTCGGAAGTTAGGAATTCCCTTTCTCTCCATGTTGCTGCATGGGCATGGAGGACAAGGTAAGCATTCTTAGAGTCTGTATATATATTTACCCTTTTTCCTTCTCCTAATTCTAGTGCCTGAGTGAGGGCTATTAGTTCTGTCAGTGGAGCACTAGTTCCTGGAGTGAGGGGATAACTTTCAAGTATTCCATTATCACTGACCACTGCATACCCTGCTTTTCGAAGTCCTTTTTCTACAAAGGAACTGCCATCAGTATACAAGTTGAGGTTGGGATCAGTCAAGGGAACCTCTAGAAGGTCCCCTTGAGTGGAGTAGGTTTGAGCAATCACCTGTTGACAGTTATGTTCTATCTTTTCTTCATTGTCTGGAAGAAATGTGTCTGGGTTAAGAGTTGCACAAGTGCACAGACACAGCACTGGCCCTTCAAGTAATAGAGCCTGATATTTAAGCAAATGGTTTTCTGACAGCCACAAGTCTCCTTTAGCAGTGAGTATGTCGTTTACATCATGAGATGTCCACACAGTAAGATCTCTTCCCTGTATTATTTTAACTGCTTCAGATACTAAGACTGCTACTGCCGTCACTACCCATAAACAATGAGGCCAACCCTTTGCCACTACATCAATTTCCTTACTCAGGTATGCCACGGGTTGCAAGCTGGTTCCTTTGACCTGTGTAAGTACTCCTAGAGCTATTCCTGTTTTTTCTGTGACATATAGAGAAAAGTCTTGCCCCATTGGCAGGCTTAACACTGGGACGTGGGTTAGGGCCTTCTTTAAGGCCTGGAAAGCCACTTCTGCTTCAGGTGTACATCTTACTAAATGGGTATTGGCTTTCTGAGTTTCCTTAATTAGTATATATAGTGGCCTGGCTATTTTGCCATACCTGGGAATCCATATTCGGCAGAAGCCTATTATGCCAAGGAATGCTCTTAGTTGTTTTAGGGTTTCTAAGTTTTGCTCTGGGCCTAAGGCAGACTTTTGAAGGTTTTTTTCTAATGTCTGCAGCTGACTGATAAACTTATCCTTTAAGATTAGTTGGCCTTCAATAGAGTCAGGTGACAGAGAGGTATGTTTCCTCAATGTCTCCCTTAGTCTCTCCAGAAAGGCAGTAGGATTTTCTTCCTTTCCTTTTGTTATAGTGGACATCATTGAATAATTTATAGGCTTCTTCCTAGTTTTCCTTAGTCCTTCTAGCATGCAAGTTAGTAAATGTCTGTGGCACCAATCTCCATGTTCTGATTCTGTGTCCCATTGAGGGTCTACACTGGGAACTGCCTGCTGGCCTGTGGGGAATTGTTCGCTTTCCTCTGTTGTCATCCTGTCATTGACCTGACTGAGATACCAGAGATCGCCAAACTCTTGGGGCTGCAGTTATGGTGGCACTTCTCTCATTTGGGGTTAGTGTCTGATCTAGCAGTAACATTCTATCTCTCCATGTCAGATCAAAGGATTGTCCTAACCCTTGTAAAACATCAATATAGCCATCAGGGTTATCTGAGTATTTACCTAGGTCTATTTTAATTTGCTTCAAGTCTGACAGGAAAAAAAGTACATACACTCTGACTGGGCCAAATTCTCCAGAATACATCTTAGGGGCATTTTTGCCTTGGGAGGAATGTTTCCCATCGCTTTGGAGGTCCCTTTGTGGTCGTCAAAATGTTACCAGGAGGTCCTTGTTCTTAGAGCTCCCAAGAGGGTGGCGGGCTGCTTCCAAGATGTCAGCAAGCCTCTTGTTCTCTGACCTGAGGTTCTTGGCCTCACGGATTCCAAGAAATGGAATCTTGGGCTATGCAGTGAGTGTTATAGCTCTATTCAGCTTGATTAGGATGAACCTCGGGCACTTAGCCCAAGCAGGAACAATGGCGAGCCTCTAGCCTGATTGGGAGCAGCAATGGGCACTGCCTCGCTGGATCAGAAGTGCAGCAGACACCCTGCCAGATCCGGAGGGGTGGAAGTCAGTGGCAGAACTGTGATGGTGGCAAACAGCAGTGGTAGACGACGAGCGAAAGCTCAGCTCGAGCCATAACAAACACGGACCAGAAGAGTGTGCAGTTGCAAGATTTAATAGAGTGAAAACAGAGCTCCCATAAAATGGAGGGGACCCAAAGGGGGTTGCCCTTACCTGGCAATTTTTTCAATTACCATTTCAATATCATTGCATGTTATTGGTCTGTTAAGAGTTTCTAATTCTTCCTGATTTAATCCGGGAAGTTTGTGTATTTCCAGGAATTTATCCTTCTCCTCTAGGCTTTCTAGTTTATGCATGTAAGGGTGTTCATAGTAGCCTTCAATAATCTTTTGTATTTCTGTGGCATCAGTTGTAAAATCTCCCATTTCCAGTTGAGCTTATTTGGATGTCTCTTCTTGTCTCACTAGTGTTCTATCAATTTTATTTATCTTTTCAAACAACCAGGTTTTCGTTTCATTTATTGTTTGTGTTTTTTGTTGTTGTTTCAATTTCATTTAATTCTGCTTTGATCTTGGTTATTTCCTTTCTTTTGCTGGGTTAGGGTTTGGTTTGTTCTCGTTTCTCTAGTTCCTTGAGGTGTGACCTTAGATTGTCTATTTGTGCCCTTTCGTACTTTTTGACATAGGCATTTAAGGCTATAAATTTTCCTCTTAGCATCACCTTTGCTGTATCCCAGAGGTTTTGACAGGTTGTGTCGCTATTATCATTCAGTTCAAATAATTTTTAAATTTCCATCTTGATGTCATTACTGACCCAATGATTATTCAGGAGCAGCTTATTTAATTTCCATGTATTTGCATGGTTTTCAGGTTTCCTTTTGGAGTTAATTTCAGATATTATTCCACAGTGGTCTGAAAGAATACTTGATATGATTTTGATTTACTTAAATTTATTGAGACTTATTTTGTGACCTATTATATGGGCTATCTTGGAAAATGTTGCATGTGCTAAAGAATAGAATGCATATTCTACGGTAGAATTGGGTAGAATGTTCTATAAATATCTGTTAAGTCCATTTGTTCTAGGGTATAGTTTAAGTCTATTGTTTCTTTGTTGACTTTCTGTCTTGACCTATCTAGTGTTGTCAGTGGCATGTTAAAGTCCCCCACTATTACTGTGTTGCCATCTATCTCATTCCTTAGGTCTAGTAGTAATTGTTTCACAAATTTGGGACCTCCAGTGATAGGTAACTATATATTTAGAATTGTGATATTTTCCTGTTGGACTAGTCCTTTTATCATTATATAATATCCCTCTTTGTCTTTTTTAACTGCTGTTGCTTTAAAGTTTGTTTTGTCTAAAATAAGAATAGCTACTTCTCCTTGCTTTTGGTGTCCATTTTCATGGAATATCTTCTTTCATCCTTTTACCTTAGGTTTACCTGAGTTCTTATGTGTTAGGTGAGTCTCTTGAGGACAGAAGATGGTTGGTGAATTATTATCCATTCTGCCATTCTGCATTTTTAAATTGAGTATTTAGGCCATTTAATACATTCAATATTAGTATTGAGTTGTGAGGTGCAGTTCTATTCGTTGTGCTGTTTGTTGCCTGAATACCTTGTTTTTGTTTTCATTGTGTTATTTTTATAGGTCCTGTGAGATTTACACTTTAAGAAGATTCTATTTTGGTGTATTTTGAAGATTTGTTTCCATATTTAGAGCTCCTTTTAGTGGTCCCTGTAGTGCTGTCTTGGTAATGGCAAATTCTCTCAGCATTTGTTTGTCTGAAAAAGGCTGTATCTTTCCTTCACTTATGAGGCTTAGTTTCACTGAATACAAAATTCTTGGCTGATAATTATTTTGTTTAAGGAGGATAATGATAGGACCCCAATCCCTTCTAGCTTGTAGGGTTTCTGCTGATAAATCTGCTGTTAATCTGATAGGTTTCCCTCTTTATAGGTTACCTGATGCTTTCACCTCACAGCTCTTAAGAGTCTCTCCTTCATCTTGACTTTTGATAACCTGATGACTATGTGCCTAGGCAATGATCTTTCCACAGTGATTTTTTCAGGTGTTCTTTGAGCTTCTTTTATTTGGATATCTAGATCTCTAGCAAGGCCATGGAAGTCTTCCTCGATTATTCCCTCAAATATGTTTTCCAAACTTTTAGATTTCTATTCTTCCCCAGGAACACCAATTGTTCTTAGGTTTGGTTGTTTAAAATAATCCCAAACTTCTTTGAGATCTTATTCATTTTTTAAAATTATTTTTTTCTTTGTCTTTGTTGGAGTGGGTTAATTTGGAAGCCTTGTCTTTGAGCTCTGAAGTTCTTTCTTCTACTTGTTTGATTCTATTCTGAGAATTTCCTGTGTATTTTGCATTTATCTAAGTGTGTCCTTCAACACAATTTCCAGAAGTTGTGTTTGTTTTTTTATTTATGCTATCTATTTCTCTGGAGATTTTTCCATCCATATCCCGTCACATTTTTAAATTTCTTTAAGTTGGTGTTCACTTTTCTCTGGTGCCTCCTTGAGTAGCTTAATCATTCATCTTCTGAATTTTCTCACAATTCAGAGATTTCTTCTTGGTTTGGATCCATTGTTGGTGAGCTTGTGCGATCTTTGGGGGTTTTAAAGAATATTGTTTTGTCATATTACCAGAATTGTTTTTCTGATTCCTTCTCATTTGGGTAGACTGTGTCAGAGGGAAGATCTGGGATTCAAGAGCTGCTGTTTAGATCCTTTGGTCCCATGGGGTGCTCCCTTATGTGGTGCCCTCCCCTTTCCCCTCAGGGATGGGGTTTCCTGAGAGCCAGACTGCTGTAATTGTTATTTCTCTTCTGGATCTAGCCACCCAGCAAATCTTCCAGGCTTCAGGCTGGTACTGTGGAGTGTCTGCAAAGAGTCCTGTGATGTGATCCGTCTTCAAGTCTCTCAGCCATGGGTACCAGCACCTACTCTGGTGGAAGTAGCAGGGGAGTGAAATGGACTCTATGAGGGTCCTTGGTTGTATGTTTGTTTAGTGTGCTAGTTTTGTGTTTGTTGGTCTCCAGCCAGGAGATGGCACTTTCAAGACGTCACCAGCTACAGTATTAGGGAGGATACAACCTAGCCATAGGGTCCCCTGGGTAAGTATTAGGGTTTCTTAAGAAGTAGACAGGGCCACAGAACTCGCAAGAGATTATGTCCTTTGTCTTAACATTAATCGACAAACCACAAGTACTTAGGGTTCTGGTGGTTTAAGGTAAAACTGGAAAATACTGGTCTCTCAAATTTATGTGTACACAATTTTAGGGGTTTATGAAATTCCAAAGTCAGGAAATTATTACCCTGTAGTATACTAGGACAAATGAATAAAAGATCCAACAACATTTTAACAAATGTATTACAGTAGCTTAAAGGCAACTGGGCAAATCTAGAATCAGCAGTTTCTCTCTCTTCTTAGCACAGAGCAAGCAAGATATTCTTTAAGTATTAGGATTTTTAACACTGGCCAGCAACAGTCACTGTGAGCTAGAGAATATGATGGAATGCAAATTAGATAACAGGTTAGACTTTGTTTATGTAAAAATCAAGATTGGTCATGGCTAACTCTATTTTCAGAAATTGCTTAGGAAGTTTACCTAGGGGATGTGAATGCTGGAGAGAGTTTTACAACAGTAATTAAGTGGTAGATTCAGATGCTGTCTCTGAGATCATTGGCTCATCAATCAACATGCATAGCATTTACTCAGAATTCTATCAGCTTTTATATTGCTTTTGATTTGCTTACTCCACTACACATCCTCTGGTATGTTACTCTTACTTGTTATTTCCCAAGTGTGACAGACCTGGACATGCCCACTGGACATGACTGCCAGAGAATCTATGATTTTCTATTTGGCACAGGCTGTTATTCTGAACTCCAGAGTCTCAAATGAAAGTTCTTTAACTTTTTTTTTTCTCAAAGGCTATCATACATGTCCAGACAACAACCACTTATTGCCTAGTTTCAAGGCCTTTACAAATAATGCAATTCAAGACTTGAGATACCATTTATCAAAATATTGCTTAGTTAAATCTCCTAAGCTGGAGACTTTAATAATGATGTCATAGACCCTAGTGACAACCCTAGAAAAAAATACCCATCAGACCTGTCTCATAAGCAATTATTTGGCTTGATATTTTCTGTTCTTTAATGACCGATATCAGGTGGAACTTTTAGAGAGCTGGAGGTTTATGAAGCACAGTGGCTAGATCTCAACGAATGTAGCAAAAAGAATGATAATTATGCTTTGTTTACTATGGACTATCGTATTTGCTAGTCACTAAGTGCATTATATATTTTATTTCATGTAAACCTTCTAAAGACTCTATGAAGTAGCTGCTATCATTACTATTATGTCTGTTTTACTTAACCTCTTTTATGCCTCAGTTTCCACTGAAGCAGATTTGTGATTGGTGGCCATTACATTTCTCAGCTACAATAAAACAAAACATAAAAATGTTGTGTATTATTTGCATGTTGTTTCAATTGTTTTGCCTCTACTTAACTTCATTCATTACCTATTAATAAACATTACACTAAATATAGACTTTATTCAGAGGTTTTGTGAAGGACCTAACCTAATAAGAGAAAAACAGTAAACTTGAAGAAACAAGACTTTTGTAATGTAGGAACAAGTTACTCAATAGGCATATGTGTAGTTCTTCCATTATATAATATTCATCATCATTCCATGGTTTTGATGACCACATGGAGAATATTCTCCCCAGAATAAACATCTTGTTATTCATTAAAGACTTCTTCCATCCTCTTACATTTCAGTTCCGTCACATTTTCTTTTAAATGAAATTTTATTACTTGGTATTGGATAAAAAAGAGTATTACCTGTAAATTTTATACAATTTTTCTTAATTTAATTTCTAAAATTTATTTAAAATGTCATGAAACTTTATTGAAAATTTTTACTAACTTTCAGCAAAATCATTAAAACCTGGAAAAGAAAAATGCTTCTGCTGTTAAAGCTCCTGCTGCTTCTTTTATTTTAAAAATTCAGACACCATTTTCTCTCTATAGTATTTTGTTGAAGAGTGGCTTTTAGAGTCCAGCTACCTTCATTTTACCTTGATTCACTTCTATTGGCTTCTAGAGCACAGTGCCTTATGACCCAGAATTCTTCTTCCCCTTGATTTTGGGCAAATGGCTTTCTTAATATATAATTATTAGATTTTTTTATTGACCACTAACGTTTGATGAATGCTATAGGCAAATTTAACCCAAACTGATTTAAAAAAAAGCAAGCTTAATTTTCTCGCTTCAAATAAGCTTTGTTTAACTGCAGTATTAGAAGATTTTTTTAAAGTACAGGCATATCTTGAAGATATTCAGGTTCAGTTCTAGACCACTGCAATAAAGTGAATTACAATAAAACCAGTCAAATAAATTTTTTGGTTTCTTGGTGCACATAAAAGCAATGTTTACATTATGCTGTAGTCTAGTAAGTGTGCAATAGCATTATGTCTAAATAATGTTCATACCTTAATTTAAAAATACTTCATTGATAAAAATGCTAATGATCATCTGAGCCTTCAGTGAGTCATAATCTTTTTACTGATGGAGGAGCTTCCTGCAATGTTGATGGCTGCTGACTGAGCAGGGTGGTGGTGGAAGGTTGGAGTGGCTGTGGCAATTTCTTACAATAAGATAACAATAATATTTGCAACACTGATTTGACTCTTACACAAAAGATTTCACTGAGGCATGAGTTGCTGCTTTATTCACATTGAAACTTCTTTCAAAATTAGTCAATCTTCTCAAACCCTTGTGGCTACTTCATTTATCAACCATGCTTATGTAATATTCTAAATCCTTTGTTGTCATTTCACCAATGTTTGTAGCATCTTTACCAGCAGTAGATTCCATCTCAAGAAACCACTCTTTGCTCATCCATAAGAAGCAACTTCTCATCCATTCAAGCTTTATGAGCTTGTAGAAATTTGCCACATCTTCAGGCTTTATTTCCAATTCTAGTTTTCTTGCCATTTTGACCATATCTGTGGTGACTTTCTACACTGAATCTTTAAACCCTCAAAGTTATCCATTAGAGTTGGAATTGATTCCTTCCAATTTCCTGTTAATGCTGATATTTTGACCTCCTCCCATGATTCATGAATGTTTAATGGCATCTCAAATGGTGAATATTTTTTAGAAGGTTTTCAATTTACTTTGGCTAGATTCATGAGAGGAATCACTATCTATGGCATCTATAACTTTAAAAATGTGTTTCTTAAATAATAAGACTTGAAAGTCAAAATTACTCCTTGATCCATGGGCTACAGATTAGATATTGTGTTAGCAGGCATGAAAATAGCATCAATATTCTTGTACCTTTCCATCACAGATTGTGGGATACAGGGTGCATTTTCCATGAGCAGTCATATTTTGAAAGGATTCTTTCTTCTGAGCAGTAGATCTCAACACTGGGCTTAAAATATTCAGAAAATCATATTGTAAACAGACATGCTGTCATCCAGATTTATTGTTGCATTTCTAGAGCATCGGCAGAGTACATTTAGCATAATTCTTAAGGGTTCTAGAATTTTCAGAATGGTAAATGAGCATTGGCTTCAACTTGAAGTCACCAGCTGCATTATCCAGTCCTTTGAAACCAGACGCAGACTTCTCCTCTGTAGCTACGGTAGTCCCAGATGGCATCTTCCAATGGAAGGCTGTTTCACCTACATTGAAAATCTGTTGTGTAGTGTAGCTACCTTCATCAATGATTGCACTGTATCTTTTGGATAACTCAGACGCAGCTTATCCATGAGCATTTGTTGCTTCATCTTGCACTTTTATGTTTGGAGATAACTTGTTTCTTTAAACCTCATAAACCAACCTTTCTAACTTTCAACTTTTCTTCTGCAGCTTCCTCACCTCTCTCAGCCATCACAGAATTGAACAGAATTAGGGCCTCATTGTGAATTAGGCTTTGATTTAAAAGAATATTGTGGCTAGTTTGATCTTCCATTCAGGCCATCTCTTGTCATTCCTGTGATAAGAAGGAATTTAATTTCCTTCAAGAACTTTTAATTTCCTTCAAGAACTTTTTCTTTGCATTCTCAGCTTGGCTAACTGGCACAAGATGCCTAGTTTTCAGCCTGTCGTGGCTTTTGATGTGACTTCTTTACTAAGCTTAATCATTTTCTAGTTTTTGATTCAGAGTGAGAGATGTGAGATTTTTTTCTTTCATTTGAACAGTTAGAGGAGATTGTGAAGTAGCATTGTTCATCTGGGTTAATACAGAGGTTCATTGCCTCATCCCAAGGAAATCAAGGACATGGATACATGTGGAGTGAGGTTAAGAGTAGAGGTTTAATTGGTGAAAGAGAGAGAAAAGAGAATAGCTCTCTCCCCTGCAGAGAGAGAGGGGCTCCCGAGTGGGTCTTCTGGTTTTGTAGTGAAGTGCACCAGATTTTATAGACTGACTTGAGGAAGTGCTGTCTGATTTACATAGGGCCCAAAGATTGGTTGGGCCAGGTGTGATGTTTACACAGTGTGTGAAGAAGCTGGCTACTCCACCCTTATCTTATTATGCAAATGGATTTTCTTCTTGGCTAGTGCCATGTTGTGTGCTCCTTACTGCACAGGTGGTTGGCAAGAAAAACGGAAGATGGAGCCATGATGTTGAACATGCCTAGCCCCCAGGTAGCCTTTTCCTATTGGCACAGATGCCAGCATTCACCTGTGCAAGCTTCCAGCTTGCTTATCTATGTCTGCAGCATGCTTTTACAGGCTGCTCTTTGTTAGAAAAGAAATAATTTGGGGGCTGCTTTTCATTAAAAGGACAACCTTACCAAGGACTTCCTTATCCTCACTATATGCCTAAATAATTTCTTTTTAACTCATATATCAAGTGCAGAATTATTAATAGGCCTACTATCATTATTCTTGTGTCTCAGGCAACAAGCAGGACTGAGGAGAAGGAGAGAGTCAGAGGAATACCAAGTTGGTTAAGCAGTCAGAAGACAACATCATGGATTAAGTTCGCTGTCTTGTATGGGTATGGTTTCTGGCACCCAAAAGAATTACAATAGTAACATCAAAGATCTCTGATCACAGATCACCATAAGGGGTGTAATAATAATGAAAAAGTTGGAACTATTGTGAGATTTCCCAAAATGTGACAAAGACATGAAGTGAGCGCATGCTGTTGGAAAAACGGTGCCAACAGGCTTACTTAATGCACAATTGCCAGAAACCTTCCATTTGTAAAAAACACATTATCTATGAATCACAATAAAGTGAGGCACAATAAAATGAGGTGTGACTGCAGTTAGGTGCTCAGTAAGTTATAATACTCCATTTCCTGCAACTTTATTCTGCCTAAATAGCAAAACATTTTAATTATAGGCCTGTAATTACCACCCTCTCCCTAGGGTAAACATTCCTGCCCAGTTGCAAGAGAATAATCACTTTCAGCAGCTTAGTAGCCGTAATGAACCAAAAGTGCCAATTCTACTTCAAAAGATGAACAATTTATTTCCCTTTCATTAACAGTAACAGAGTCAAGAAACAGAGACGTTTTATTGCACTAATTCAATAAGATAAGACTAGGGAATTGCTTAATATTATGCCATTTGATTGGTATGATTTGTCCCAGAATATAGTTCTCATTTAAGTCTTCATTTGAATCTGTCATATCTCTTCTTTCATCTCTTCTGACAGTACTTTAAACCAGGTTAATTCTTTTAACTTGAACTATTGTACAGATAAAACTATTAACTCATTTAAGAGAAAACCATCCAGCAAAAAAAGTTCCCTTATCCTGTAGTTGTCTGAAAAAAATGTCCATCCAGGGGCTAAATATCCCAGCTCCTCTTGCATCTATGTGGGTTTTAAGAGATTGAGTCTCATCAATGGAACCTGAGGAAGAATGAAATCTGCCACTTTCCCATTTTGATGGCTTGATGCAGATAAGCACAGCCAATGTACCACTATCTTGAAAGCCAGGTGTTGAAGATAGCAGAGACATGAGATTAAAAGAGTTTGAGTTCTGAACCAGTGCTTCACAGAGAAAAATTAATCAGGAAAATACATTTTGGATTTTACGTGAGGGAGAAGGAAACTTCTATTGTTTTAACATTGTAACTTTTAAAGTGAATTTTTATCTTTAGTTAGCACCTACATTTGGATTGTGCTTCAGCTGAAATATCCAATTTAACCTCCTGTTATTCAGTTATCAAATAGTTACGGAGACCTCCCCAACCTTCTGACACACATACACATGGGAAATAATATTTACAGAGAAATGACTGTACCAGGTACTGAGGATACATGGAAAAGAAATACTTTTTGAACTCAATGACAATGTACTGCCTTGTTCTCCAAATATCTTCCTCATGGTAAATTTCTCTTTTCCTGGCTTTTCATTCTCTTTTTTTTTGTCTGTCAGCAGCAAATGTCTTCCAAGGCTCTGCCTTCTTATTCTCTAGAATGAATCTTTTTACTAAACTATTAATTGCTGTGAATAACTTCTAATCCATTTTTCTGGTCATGACCTCTTAGCTCTGTTCTAATTTTTCATTCCAATTATTTACAGGACATCTTCACTTGAATGCCCACCATCATTAGCTTAGAGGCAGTATAGAATTATGAGTAATCGCATAACAAATAGAAGTTGAAATTGTGATTAAAGTTAAATTTTCTACAGTGCAACAACTATTAATTGAACAACCACTAAGCTAATTGTCTTGTCTTTAGACTATTTGTTTCCATCAATATTTTTTCCTGAAAGGAAAGGCAGTGAATCCTAGTTGAAATGAATTCGTGTGTTTGTTTCACATAAATAAGCTAACAGTGAACTCCTACATATCTTAAGAAGAGTTGTAGGTACAGCAGTTTGAAGGCTTATAACCTTCATCTTTTATTTTGACATGAAAACTTCAAACACATTTTTACCAAGGAGACCTTTATAAAGTGTTTGCTGACCTAAATCTCTTTCCAAGTTTTTAATAGAACAAGGGCACAAGAGGCCAATATCTAAGCTTGAAAACAAGCATGTCGTACTTGTTGGAGGAGCTGATGACCTAGTTATCAGGAGTTCTATTTGTATGTGGGTTCCAGAAGATTGAGAAGATTGTGTGAAAGAGGAGGACTGGACACACTGCAACCTGACAGCTGTTGCCTCCACTGACCCTCTGCTAAGTTTCCTAAGTGATCAGATAGTAGGAGCCACCCCTTAAGTTGTTTAGCGATGTCAGGACTACATTGATAGAAAACAGTCAAGTCACTCAAGCTTTTGGGTGTATTCTAATTAGGAATCAATGAAGAGAGATAATTCTAAAATTATCACAATGAAGTATCACTCAAGTTAATCTCTTGCTGAGACCCAGGGAATCAGTACCCAGATTCACAGAGAGAGGCAGGGTGAGGCAAACTAAAAGAGTTAAATGAAAATGGTGTATGACTACAGGCATATTAGAAAAAGAGAGCACAGCCTTCCAGGCTTTATGGTTTTGTATATTGCGTTCATATACACATTCTCCAGCAAGTTGTTCTCTGGAGCATAGCAGAGGAGAAACTGGGACTATAGCAATGTCAACGTGACTGGAAGGCATATATGGATAGGAGGTTTCGCAGCAAATTGAGAAGTAGGGGTTGGTGTTTAGGACAGGCTTAAAATGAGTTATTCCAGAATCTGTCTACTGAGAAATTTTCTAGCTGCCTTTATAATGCCTGCCTGCCTTCCTTCCTTCCTCCCCTCCGTCCTCCTTTACTTTTATTCCTCCTTTTCTTTTATTCCTCCTTTTCTTTTATTCCTCCATTCTTTTACAAGTTTTGTTAAGTATGTATGTGCCAGGCACTGTAGTAGGTATTAGCATTTCCTTTCAGGGGCTTACAGTATATTATGGAATTCAGAAATGTAAATCATAAATTACAGAACAGCATGGAAAGTGTTATGACAAGCGTATTCATAGTCTGTGATGTAAATCCAGAGGCAAGGGATCTACCATGGATGGAGAAGTCTAGCTAAACTTCTTTGTAAGTAGGGGGACTACATTGACTCCTAAGGCCAAGAAGATTAGATGAAAATTGGGTGTTCAAGAGCAGTCCAGGCAAATATGCCAAATAAGTCTAATAATGACTAGAGTTAGAATGCCATGAGTTAATAAAATATCTGTTTTTCTGCCACTGGAAAAAGACAACTGCTGCGGAGTTTGATTCATATTTCACTTATCACAGAACTATGGTCTTGCTGGTGCTTAAGAAAATGGATATGGAGTAGAGAAGTTAAATCCTTAGAATTGTCCAGAGCTGGGGTTTTTCAAAGGCAATAACAATGGAAAGAGAATAAGTATAGAGAGATAGAGGGATAATGATAAAATCAGAGGATTTAGGCTAAATAGAGGAGGGAACAAAGTCAGAATCCTGTGAATTTATGATTTCTTTTTACTACTTTCCTTCATCTAATAGAAAAAACAAGCCATTTTTTTCACTAAACATCAATTAAGTGATGATTATGTGTCAGAGTAAGAGCTAGGACATGAGGACACCAAAATGAATAAGAAATTGTTCCTTCCTCAAAAGGTTTACAATTTAGTGAAAGGAGACTTAAATTTTTTTTTTATTATACTTTAAGTTCTGGGATATATGTGCAGAATGTGCAGGTTTGTTACATAGGTATACACGTGCCATGGTGGTTTGCTGCACCCATCAACCCATCATCTATATTAGTTATTTCAAGGAGACATATTTAAGCTGGAAGTCAGGAAGCTGGCACCCACCTCTCTTGGTTCTGATGAAGAGACAAATTTTGTGACTGGGCTAGGGGAAGGGAAGACCACAGAGGTGGAGACTGACTAGGTAGACCTCCTACCCTATGCTTTAACCTTTGAACTAGCTTCCCATTTGCCCACCTTCCCAATACTGTGATAGCTTTTGTTAACTGCATTTGACATATTAATCTGTTAACTTGCTTCTTTTAATTGAGAGTTCAATATAATTTGATACTTTTTTAAAACATTTTTGTTTTTGAGAAACTTTAGACTTATGGAAAAGTTACAAAGATAGTAAAGAGAGGTTTCATAAACACTTCACCCAAATTTCCCAATGTTAACATTTGACATACCCATGGTACATTTGTCAAAATGAAGACATTAATGTTGGTACAATATAGACTTTATTTGGATTCATCAGTTTTGCCACTAACATCATTTTCTGTCCCAAGATCGAAGCAGGATGCCACTTTACGTTAGTGGTCATGTCTCCTTAGTCTCCTCAAAGTGTGATAGTTTCTCAGTCTCATCTTATTTTTCTTGCCCTTGACAGCTTGGCAAGAGTTGTAGGTGTGTTTCCACCATAATTTATGATTATCCATGCCTTTTCTTCCCTGTTATTATCTTGGTATTGTAGAGGAAAAGGGGGGAAAGCTTCGTTTTTATCCTTTGAATGTTTGCTGAAAATGACCTGACAAAAGGCAGATTAATAGAAGAAAAAGGCATACAAAATTTATTTAATGTGCAGAGGGTGAGGGTTCATAGCAGTGTGATTACCCAACAACTTAATGGGGTACAGATGCTTATTTACCCTTCACAGGGAACAGGGGAGATGGGGAACATTGGTAATTCTTTAGAGGGGTAATAAGTGGTTATTAAGGAGAATAAAGGGACCTGGAAGACAGAATTTAACTTGTAAATGATTCTCTTTGGAATCTGAATGATCCTGAGAGTCAGGAATTATCTTGTAAGAAAGTCCATCGAGGTGTGGTTGCATTCTTCAGTGTTCTTTTCTGTGATAAACAATGAGATTTCAGGGAGGGAACAGAATGCTATTGTGTTCTCTTTGGCTGGTCCACTCTTAAGGTAAATAAGGGGACTATCAGAGATAAGCCTCTTCCAGCATCTGCTGACCTTCACAGGCCATTAATTTTAAATTATCAGCATACCATGGTATCTTGGGGTGAAATTCCCTGGGCTCCTTCAGTGTAAGTTATAAGTAGGTTCAGTTGTATATAACAGAAACTCCCTAATAACAGTTAACGGATACATGCATAAAGGGTCAGCAGTTGTGAACTGATATGATTCTGTTTTCAGAAACCCAGGCTTTTACTCTGGGTCTGCCTTTTCACCTTTAACACTGGCTTCTAACCCTCAAGGTCGCTGATTGTCTAAATTGCTTTTGGAGCTGTAAGAAACGGGAAGGAGAAAGTAGCTATTTGTCCTGTCTTAAAAGGGCTTTCCTGGAACTCCCACCTAACATGATTATAGCTCATTGGCCAGGACCAGGTCACATGGTCACTTTGACTACAAGGGATACTGGGAAATACTATCTTTCAGCTGAGTTTCTAGCCACCCCAAACAAAATTGGGATTGTCTTTCTAAGGCAGTAGGGAAGGAACATTGCATGGGCAATGAACAGAATATGTGTCATGCAGATAAGAATAAGTAAGGAGATAACTAAATGATTTGGTCAATGTCTGCGTGAAGAAACAAACAAACAAAAAAGAACTATTTGGGAGCCCTGTTTAAGAAGGGGGATATTTACAGACTATTGTGATTCTGGGGCTGAGAAAGACACTATTCTTGTGTTTATACCCCTAGAGCCTTTGATTGAACTCGAAAGCTCCTGTCTGCTTTTTGTTTTCATTCAGAGTAGTAAATACCTTTGTTTCCCTTTACAAATAAGAAAATAGGGAGAGGGGCAAAAGAAATAGAAATGTTCTATCTATCTAAGTTTTTAGGATGTCAAGAATTTTCCTGACATTAGGAGAAACTTCCACCCTGTATGGCAAACACCTGTCAATGATGGCACTAGCAAGGAGGATCAGAGTGAATAAAATTCTAAGATTTGCAATGCTGGTTGTTAGAGTTACTTTCTGCAGCAGAACTACAGGGAATTAGAGAGAAGCTGAAGTTGCTTAAAAAAATGAGCTTCTTTGTCAGGTGGTTGCTAAGGCCTTGTCTCATTAAAGAAGAGGAAATAAGTGCCTTATGGGAGTTCCTATTTTCTTGTTGTTGACAAGAAAGAAACATACAGCGTTTCAATGACAGATAAAAAGCTTTGCCTATTTAGGTGATTTTGACTAATTGTCCTTGAGAATAAAAGTGAGAACAGAAAGACCAATTTCTTAGGAAGAAATAAATGCATCTGTGTTTAAGAATTAGTTTTTCAGTGTAACTGGTTGGTTTTGGCCACTGAGCTCACGAGATATAAACATGAGATGGTTTATTTTCTCCAAAATGGTTAAGAACAGTGTTCTACCAAAACCTTTTCCTCTGGGTGGCAGGCTCCCCAATGGCATCTTAGTCTAACTACCATTTTCAGTTACATTTAACTATTAAAACAGTCTTATCCTAGCTTTGAAATATAATCCTGTTTATTTAAAATTGTTATTTTATATTTAATTTAAAATGCTTTCTGGCTTGACCACAGGTGGACTTATGGTTCTAGTATCTTGGAGTGGAGGGGCCCTCTTATCCCTTGTATATGCAATCTTTAGTTCGGGGGCAGGGAAGAGACAGAAGAAGATAATTTCTTATAAGACTGTGTATGTTGAGTTGACTGTCGGTGATGATAAGGTTTCTATCCCATTTTTCTCTGCTAACGATTTGTTAGTTCTTCCATTAGTTCTGGTTCGGGGGTTTCACCCCTAATAATTCTCTCTATGCTAAATCCTTTCATTCGGCTCCACTTTATTCCAGTCAGTTCATCACACAGCCTCTTGCTGCAGGACTCCCAGTGCCCAGCAGGTGACCCATATGTAGGGTGACTGTACCTGAAGTTGACTTTCCCAAGGAGACTACTGGGTCCATGGTGTCATCCATGCCAAATGGTGGTAGTGTTGACATTCCCCTGGAATCCTCATTTCTCACTTCCTCTCTTTCCTCGTCCTTTGACCATGTCCCAGTAGCACTGCTGGCCTAAATTATACCTTTAGGTATCGGGAAAGTCCTTGAGGGACATACCACTGTGCTAGGTCTCACACCTTGACTTTGGAGTGAGGGTTTTATTTCAGTCCTTTTTTGCAACCTCAGCTAGATGCTCCTGTTCATGACAGTCAGTCCTGAGTTTTGGTGCTCAGCCTGCTAGCCCAGTGGCTCAGCACTCTCAGATTCAAGATGATTTCTCTCACAGACAAGGTACATTGGATGATGACCGGGTGTCAACAATCTTACAGTAAGTGATGTTGAATTTCTTGTGCCTGATGAGAGGAAAAGGCTGAAAGGAAGAATGGTGCTTCAAAAACTCTGTGTTATGCCTAAAGGCAATCTCCTCAGATCCTCATATACTGTAGGTGGTAAATGTCTCCAAGCCAGTCGGCTTCCTTGGCTACCGAGAGCAGGGGAGTCATGTAAATTCTTTGAAGTTGTTTCCAGTTCAGTGGTTCTGAACTGGGGGCAGTTTTGTCCCCCAGGGGACATTTGGCAATGTGTGGAGACATTTATGGTTGTCACAGCTGAGGGAGGTGCTACTGCCATCTAGTGGGTACAGGACAGAGATGCTGCTAAACATCCTACAGTACATAGGACAGCCCCCACAAAGCAAAGAATTATGCAGCCCAAAATGTCAACAGTGCTGAGTTGAGAAATTCTGCCCCAGGGTACTAACCACATTGGTCCTCACATTGCTAGGAGTCACAAAATGACCTTATCCCAATCTCTCACATCAAGGGACCAAGAGAGTTAATATGGTTCTAGACGAATCTTTGCCTCAATTTCTCCTACCACATGTAGTGAAAGTAACTGTTGTGCTGACTTCATAGTATGGTGGTGAGAATAAAATATGATAATATATATGAATATGCTTTGAAAAAATTTCAAAAAGCCACGAAACTCATCATTTCTGCCATGTCGAGAGCTTTCTAGTAGACTAGAAAAGCATTCTGCCTGACTATGGCTGAATTACTTTCTGCTTTATCCCCTTGCTAAACTGTAACATCAAACAATCCATCAAACAATCCAAATATGTCACTTGTCTAAACACACCATAAGTTACCTAAATGCAAGGATTTCCTTGAAGTGATTGTCTTTGGTATTTATTTTTTCAAACACTCTATTACTTCCCTTGTCATCACTTTTTTGGTCTCTGTTAACATATTGTATACAACCCTGAAAAAAAGTTAATCTAAACTCGAGCTAGTTTATGAACTAGTAGCACCATTCAAAATGCCATCATTTAAGTATGATCCAGAGTCTGAATGGGATCTACATAATTTTGAACTTGATATAAATAAAATATACAAATTGACCTTGAGCATGCACAATAGTCATTGAATCCAAACACATGTTAAAGAGAATTAAACATTATAGAAAAATCTATGTGTATATATAAATGTTTTCATAGTTTTCTCCACCAAAGCAGTGCAGAATGTAATGTGAATGGGGCTCAGTGTAAACTTATTGTCACTAGTGGGCCACTTACCAAAACTTTGTGTTACCTTTCTGTAGTGATTTTTTAGAAATCCAATTGCAAAATTTTATCTTAAGAATTAAAAAGGATCAACTAGAAAATACTAGTAGAACTATGCATCAAAAATAATGTATTTCAGATAGAGAAAAGTATAATGGATGAAAGGCTTTTATTTTGCTTCTTTTGAAGCACTGTTTAAAAGGGGCATACCAGAACTCTTCACAATAACAAAGACATGGAATCAACCTAGGTGCCCAACAACAGTGGATTGGAAAAAGAAAATGTGGTACATATACACCATGGAATACTACACAGCCATAAAAAGAATAAAATCATGTCCCTTGCAGCAACATGGCTGTAGCTGGAAGCCATTATTCTAAATGAACTAATGCAGAAGCAGAAAACTAAATGAGGAGCTAAACATTGCGTACTTATGGACATAAAGATGGCAACAATAGACACTGGGGACTAATAGAGTGGGGAGGGAGGGTTGAAGGAGTAACTACTGAGTACTATGCTTGGTACCTGGGTGATGGGATCAATTGTACTCTCAACCTCAGTATCACACAATATACCATATTAACAAGCCTGTACATGTGCCCCCTGAACCTAAAATGAAAGTTGAAATTCAAAAAATAAAATAAAAAAGGAAAAGTGATATACCTGTCTGGATTGTGTTAGGGTATCATATACAGCTATATTTTGGCTGAGACATGCTAGTTCTGGAGAAAGATGTAACATGAATGAAGGAAGATTCCCCACCTCCCACTTGAGGACTTCATTATCACACAGAACATGATCACACAGAAATTACACATCTGGAATTCTCTGTGTTTCTCTGGAATTCTAGAAGGGATTCTTAAGCATACACCTTTTCTCTCTTTCTCTCTCTCTCTCTCTCTCTCTCTCTCTCTCTCTCATTAAAGGGTGCATATTAGCATCATTATGCTTAAATACATCATTTCCTTTATTCTTAGTGCTCTGTTATTTCATCTTTCTTGTGCTAAGCTCTCTACATTGTGCTTTATCATTCACACACATTTGCTGAGTCTTCTTGTTGCATAGAAACAAGGAGTACAAATGCCTGATACCACTATTCTTGACTTTTCTAGGGAAAGAAGAGCCAGCATTGCATGGCATACCTGGGGTACAGATGAGTGTAAGGAATGAAAATTTAATAAGGGTAAATATCCTGTGACTTATTCACCCACATTTATGTATCTGCTCTTCCGACAGCTCTTTTAATAAAAGAAATAACTTTTTTACACTCCTTCAAAATACTGCAGTTTGAATGGAGTGGGGTGCGATGGGGAAAAGGAGGCAATACACTGACTTGTAAATTTGCAAATTGTGACTTGAGCTTTTCTTCCTCCAGTGCACAGAATGCATGTTTCATGAATCAAAGTGAAGATATCCTTAATGGGCCCATAATCAATCAAGCATTTTTGATCGCTAGGTTTGCTTTATGGCAGTAGTGTAGTGGTGAAATAGTGTAGCAGAGCGTTCCTAAACAGTCACCAGAATTTAAACTGCTATTGAATCCAGATTGACAGATAGCATTACTGATGAAATTTAAGGGCTCCTGCTCACCACAGCAGCTGACACAGCTTTGGCATGTGACTGCATTGTTGTGGATGATGCCCTGCTCACTTCTGGCGGTCGCTGGGTGTTAAATAATACCAGTACTGTCAAGTGCTTCTCATTTTTTACCCAGGGACATTTATAATTCTCTGCTTCATGTACTTTCTAATTCTTCATGCTCAGTGGTGGGAATGAAAATTAATTACTCTGGGAATATGAATGTTACTTTGACAAATCATTCCTTTTCTGCTAAATAATGTTTTCATCAGTGAAACCAGGGCATCCCTGCCCTCTGTTCTATTGTCCTGTTCCCCTACTTCCTTCTTATGCCCTAAGATCTTTTTTGAAATGCCAGAAATGAACAAGGTTCATTACCTTTTAATTGAAGTCTGGGATTTAGATGTGATTTACTTGAAACCCTTCCTAAATATGGCATTTAAGTCTACTTGAAATCCCAGTTTTCTATCTCTGTAGCTCAGCCAAAGATGTTGCTTTGATTTCTGATCTGCACATTCCTGGGAGTATGAGGTCTCACTTGTCTGAAAAAGAGAGATGTACATTCATTTGAAGTTTCAGTTGACTTATAGTTCTTTTTTGACCTTTGCTGCTAATAGCTGGCAGAAAATAAAACCAGACAAGTCAATCACCGTCTAGATTTTATAAACTATTGGCTGCTTCTTGAAGGATTGTAATGCCTATTTTATTGGTCTGTTGTACCATAGGAAGGGATTTATAATGTCCAAAAAAGGAAACCATGGCTAGCTAGCATCATCTAGATCTGTTGGTAATAAAGTCATTACAATTAATTACTATCCATTAGCTAGAAATGAGCAGAAATCACACCAAGGAGAGACTCAAAGCATTTCAATCATTAGAATTATTTTGGCATTATCATATTTAATGTTCTGTAAAGAGTTAATCAGTTTTTCTGATTTTTTTAATTAAGCTGAACTCTTCTTCTTAATGATTTTTTCAAATTTTAAAACTTCCAGAGGAAGACTCTGCAACTCACTGCTCCTGAAACACAAGATGAACCCCTTTATCTTTGACCCCGCCTTCATGTCCTGAAGACTGCTAGCTCTTCGCATACTACCATTCTCCCTAGTGCAATTCATGCCATAGGTATTGGTGACTTCCACTCTGGCCTCTCCGTTTCTTGAATTTCTCTCCTCCAATACTCTTGTCCTACAGTCTTCCTTAGGCACTCATTCTATTGTCTGTACCCTAGATCAGCAGTTCTCAAGAAGTAATCCAATGTATCCTAGGTCTCCAAGATACTTTCAGGGGGCTTATGGTGTAAAACCATTTTTATACTACTACCAAGATGTTACTTACCTTTTTTCTTTTTCTCATCTCACATGTGTACAGTGTTTTCCAGAGGTTACATGACATGTAATGCCACAACAGATTGACTACAGAAGCAGGTAGGATAATCCAGTTGCCTTCTATTCAGCCACACGTTAAAGAGATGTGCAAAAACATGAAAAAGTACCACTCCTCTCACTAATTTTTTTTTTGTTTGGAAAGACATTGTTATCTTTCTTAAAATTATTATGTTACTATTTAATGTATTTGTTATTTTAATAAATAAATATTTTAAACATTTTCAGTTTTAATTTCTAATGCAGTATCAACAGATATAATCTACATTAAAAATATTTTTGGAATCAATAATTTTTAAGACTGTAAAAGGGTCCAGAAACCAAAAAGTTGATAACTGCTGCCATTTACCAAATTTCTCAAATTGTCTGGGAAGATGAAACCTTCTTTTTATATTGTTTTTGTTGCTTTGTAATTTTTAATTCATCATAGATTGATACTTTTGGAAAGTGAAATAAAAATAAGCTAGTAATAAAAATGTAGATCTAAAGAAATGCCAGCTCACTGATCAGATGGTTGGGTATCATGGCACTGTCAAATTGTTATAAAGTTTTGTACTTGTTTAGTACCCATTTTTGCAGTTATCTCATCATGGACCCTTTTGAGCTTCACAGACTGGCTCTGTTTCATAATTGTACTTTGGGTAGCACTGCTCTAGACCTTGTCATTGCCAGTGTTGGCCGCTGTCCCATCAAAGCAACATACCATGCTCTGACCAAAACCTCCTGTCTTTTCAGTTCACTCCCTCTGGTATCTCAATTCCAAAAATCCTTCTGTTGTCACCAAGACCTTCAATCTGTTTCTCCAACATCTTTTGACTTTTCCTCAGTGCCCTCAGTTTCTTCTTTTTCTCTTAAATTTCACAGTCACTTTTCAAATCTCAACTCTCAGATCTCAATTCTCAATTCTCAAATCTCAAATCTCAACTCTCAAATCTCTTGCCTATTTATCACTTTCTTATAACTCACAACCCTGTTTAAACCAAACTCTATACTCATACTACGTCTGCCTTCATGCAGATGAATGTGGTTGGGGAAAAAATATCCACAGTCATTCCAACATGGCTTAGTCTATTCATGACAATAACTTCAAGTGGGCCCTTAGTTCCGCCTATAGTGGACAATGTTGTCTGGTGGTTGTATTGTGATACCAAATAACCCCCAAAGTCTCAGTAGCAAATGCAATAAAGATTTGTGTCTTATTCACTTTGTGCTCTATGGGTCAGCTTCAACTCTTTACTCTGGGACTTGGACTAATGGAGCAGCTTCTTCTGGGGGTTGTTGCTATTCTTATGGAAAGGAAATGAAAAGACAGCAGAACCAGAGATATTTCTTAAGCCTTGCCTTCCAGTGTAGTATATTCCTCTTCCACTTCTATTTCATTGACTAAAGAAAGTCACTTTTTCAAGTCTAACACCAATAGAATGGGAAACTTAATCTTTTTACAGCAACAAGCATGGTAAAGAGAAACCTCTAGGATGGGGCAGTAAATATTTTCATGTTAGCACAACCTACCACCCTGTCCAATACTACAATTTCTCACCCAATCGCTCTTCCATTCTTACAAGTGTGTAATGCTTTCTCCATTCCCCTAAACCTCATTCACCTCCTCTCTCATCCTTACCACTGTTGATGACCTTGCTTTAATTTCATGGAGAACATCAAAACAATGAAAAGAGAAAAGTCACATGCTCCCACCTACCCACTTACCTGCATTTGTGGCCACATATGCTACCTTCCCTTGGATTTGCTTTCCATATTCCTGCTTAGGGCTTCATTTGTCTCCAAAGTTATATTGTGTCTCACCTCCTTGAAGTCATTGCCCCAGCACCTCTTTTCTCATTTCTACATTGTCAGTTTCTGTCCTGTACTAAATCATTCCCTTCAGTATGCCAATATGTTATGTTTCCAACCTTAAAAAAACAAAACCAACAAGCAAAAAACCTTTCCTGACGTCATTCCACCTCACACTTCTCTATTTATATTTCTCATTTTTGAAAAAGCTGTTGATGCATTCTATCACTAAGTTCTCTCTTCCCATTCTTTCCCAAAACCCCTCCCCTTATGAATGCTTCAGTGACCTCTATGTTGTTAAGGACAGTAGTCGATTCTCAGCCATCATATTCCTTGACCTCGTATTCCATATGACCATCATGGAAATAATTTCTCTGCTTGCCATGCAGGACACTATTCAGGACCTGGTCTTTCTTCTACCTCTCTGACTATTTCTTCTCAATCTTTGTGTGGTTTCCTCCCCATTTCTCTAACTCCTTCATGTTGGAATACTTGAAGAAAGAGTAACGGGCTTCCTTTTCTCTGTCTGTATTCTCTTCCTTGGTAAGCTCAGCCAGTCTTGACTTCAAGCAAATCCTACTTTTCGCTGTCTCTCAAGTTTATAACTTAAGCTTAGGCCCCTCTTGTGAACTCCATACGTATAGATCCAATGCCTTTACACCATCAGTTGGATTTCTGTTTGGCATTTCTGATCCAATATGTTCTAAAATCATCTCAAACCTCTCTAAAACCTTCTCCTCTTATAGTCTTCCCCATCTCAGTAAGTTAGAATTCTATTTGTCCATGTTTCCAAATGAAAAACCTTATGACTAGTGTTGATTATCTTCTTTCTTCCCCTCTGAATATCTGATCATCAGCAAATTTAGATAGCTATACCTTCAACACAAATAACATAGTTGACTGCTTCCCACGACATCCACTCTTACCACCAAAGTCCAAGTCACCATCCTCTCTCTTATGGATCATTGCAGTAGTCTCCTATTTAGTCTTCCTGTGTCTGAACCTGCCCCCTTCCATCTATTTTCAGTAAAGTAACAAAAATGTCTTCCCGTTTTCATAGTGAAAGTAAAGTCATTGCAATGACTATAAGTGGAAGGACAATATACTTATTTTCCATATTTGAACACTTTTGGGGGTAAAAGGAGAACTGATAACAATTATCCTGAAACAATAGGCATAAAGCAGAATTTTCCTGGGAAAAGCAGGAATGTATAGTAACCCATCAATAGGTTTCTACAGTAACTGCCCCTCATTTTTTTCTCTACCTTATTTTCTTCTATATTTCCATTTTTTACTTGAGTATCTTATTTATTGTCTCTCATACTAGAAGATTCATGAAGATAACTTTTTTCTGTCTTTACATGTAGTGCCTAGAATGTGCTCAATAAATATTTGAATAAGTGATTTAGAGACATACTTCTAATAATTCAATTCAACAAATATTTACCGAGTATTTTTCAAGGCACATGTTTCATTAAGACCAAAAATAAGACATGTCTGTAAGTTCCTCAAGGAATATGTAGACTAGTCAGGGGATATTTTGCCATTTTTCAATACAAAACTATTACCAAGACATTTAAAAATTAAAAGTGTAGGTCTATCCATTCGAAAGAACTTATTGCACAACAGGCATTGGAATGGTTATAAGATACAGGGGGTAACAATGCACACACGGTCTCAGCCCTGTGGAGTTTTAGACACTCATGGGAGAAGTAGACACATAAACACATCAATACTGTGCAGCATGCAACACCTCTGGAGTGGTCAAATGTTATAAGGCTGGGGTACTCAATGTGCCTCACTTGGAGTGGGAGATATCTCTGTATAGGTAGTTAGAGAATATTTACTGGGTCTTCACTGCACCAGCCTCTGGTCTGTGTGTTTTATCTATATTAGGTAATGAAATCCTTATATAATATCTATAAGGTAGGTACTATTATTATGTCCATTTTATAGAACTAAGGCACAGAAGCATTAAAAAGTGGGCCAATTTATACAATTAGTAATGCATAGAGCTTGAATCTGAGCCATGGCAGGGCTGGCCTCAGATCCTTTGCATATGACTATTAAGCTGTATTGGTTCATGGGGAGGTTTGTCTGACACAATCCTAGTTTACATATGTCGTCCAAAAATATCTATTAATGTGACCCACTTTTACTCTGTCAAATGTCTCAGTTTGCATAAAAACTCATATGGCTCCCCTCCTTATAGGCCATGCAGAAGTAGATGGTTGAGGATGTGTAGAAGGAAACACTGGAGAGGCACAAGCACAGGCACAGTCCGCACAACTTCTGACCACCATTCATGTTGTCTTCTAGAGAGGGTCCTTGTAGAGCAAATTCGCCTTCCCACCTGTAACTTGCCTTGTTTAGAATTAAACCATTTTTATTTTTATTAAATATTGAAAATCAAAACTGAATATACAATCTGTGTACACAAGATTTGTGTTTTGTGCATGTCTGTGTGTTTGTGTGTGCGTACGTGCACATGTGCCTTTGGAGGAGCTCAAAGTGAATAAGGAGCCAAGTAAGTATGAGAGATGAACATCATCCTCATGATGTAGATGCTGCTGTAGCAACAAGAGATGCCATCAGTTAGCTGTCCATAAGATAGATCTGCGATTTCTAAATCTGGAGATTGCATACCCTGTCTGAAAAATGTTGAGCATGAGCCACCAATATTTTCGAGTAATAAACATGCATTTGAAAACATACACACAATTAGAAATGAAAGTGGATGTATTGAAAGTTAAATGTAATTATTATAAACTACTTTTTATTTGTAGTTTATTAATGGAATGATTATAGAGAACCCTTTCCTCTCACTAGTGTAATAATTTAATGTAAGCAATGTGATGGAATAGCTCATTATTTTCAAACTCTTGGATTACAGTTTTTCATGTAGAGATTTGAGGATCACGTTCACTGTATTTGGATACTCGTTTGTACTTTCTGTCATAGGTTAAAGAGATACTTCAAAAAGATAACTGCATGCAAATGGAAGGGATGCAGTGTTAGTTGTACTTACCAAATTGTGACTTTCATTTTCATTTCAGGTGCTAATCATGTAAATGTTTTAATTAAAGTTTGGCTAGTAAGTTCTCTGATATTTATTATTAAATTTTCTTTTTAAACGGTCATAAAAAGAAACTCTATTATTAAATTTTCAAATGACTTAGAAGATATTGCATTTTTACGTGTTTAATATATGAGTTCAAAACCTACTGCAACCCTTTGTATGAAAGATTTATAAACAAGTCGGAAAATTCTTTTTACAAGTTTATTTTTTAAGTAAGTTTTTAATATTGGAATGGTTTTGGATTTACAGAAATGTTGTACAGATACTACAGAGAGTTCCCAATTAGCCCATATCATTTCTCCTATTGATCACATCTTACACTAATATGGACATTTCCCACCCAGCTAATGAACTGATATGTATTAACTATAGTCCATACTTCTTTCAGATTCTCCTAATTTTTTACCAACTGTCTCATTTTACGCTATCCTGTTCCCGAATAGGACATTAAATTTAATCCTCACATCTTTGTTGGCTCTATAGACTGTGACAGTTTCTCACACTTTCCTAAATTTTGATGCCTTTCAGGTGTCTTATAGACTCTTCTCAAGTTCTTAAAGTGTACAGGTATAAGAGCTTTTATAGATGACAAAAACTAGATTGTATTGCTTTTTGTAACACATATAGATAAGCAACTTCAGCAAAGTCTCAGGATACAAAATCAATGTGCAGAAATCACAAGCATTCTTATACACCAATAGCAGACAAACAGAGAGCCAAATCATGAGTGAACTCCCATTCACAATTGCTTCAAAGAGAATGAAATACCTAGGAATCTAACTTACAAGGGAGGTGAAGGACCTCTTCAAGAAGAACTACAAACCACTGCTCAATGAAATAAAAGAGGACACAAACAAATGGAAGAACATTCCATGCTCATTGATAGGAAGAATCAATATTGTGAAAATGGCCATAATGCCCAAGGTAATTTATAGATTCAATGCCATCCCGATCAAGCTACCAATGACTTTCTTCACAGAATTGGGAAAAACTACTTTAAAGTTCATATGGAACCAAAAAAGAGCCAGCATTACCAAGTCAATCCTAAGCCAAAAGAACAAAGCTGGAGGCATCATACTACCTGACTTCAAACTATACACTACAAGGCTACAGTAACCAAAACAGCATCATACTGGTACCAAAACAGAGATATAGACCAATGGAACAGAACAGGGCCCTCAGAAATAATACTACACATCTACAACTATCTGATCTTTGACAAACCTGACAAAAACAAGCAACGGGGAAAGGATTCCCTATTTAACAAATGGTGCTGGGAAAACTGGCCAGCCATATGTAGAAAGCTGAAACTGGATCACTTCCTTACACCTTATAGAAAAATTAATTCAAGATGAATTAAAGAGTTAAACATTAGACCTAAAACCATAAAAACCCTAGAATGAAACCTAGGGAATACCATTCAGGACATAGGTATGGGCAAGGACTTCATGTTTAAAATACCAAAAGCAATGACAACAAAAGCTGAAATTGACAAATGGGATCTAATTAAAATAAAGAGCTTCTGCACAGCAAAAGAAACTGCCATCAGAGTGAACAGGCAACCTTACAGAATGGGAGAAGATTTTTGCAAACTACTCATCTGACAAAGGGCTAATATCCAGAATCTACAAAGAACTCAAACAAATTTACAAGAAAAAAAACAACCCCATCACCAAGTGGGCAAAGGATATGAACAGACACTTCTCAAAAAAGACATTTATGCAGCCAAGAGACACACGAAAAAATGCTCATCATCACTGGCCATCAGAGAAATGCAAATCATCTCACACCAGTTAGAATGGCAATCATTAAAAAGTCAAGAAACAACAGGTGCTGGATAGAATGTGGAGAAATAGGAACACTTTTACACTGTTGGTGGGACTGTAAACTAGTTCAACCCTTGTGGAAGTCAGTGTGGCGATTCCTCAGGGATCTAGAACTAGAAATACCATTTGACCCAGCCATCCCATTACTGGGTATATACCCAAAGGAATATAAATCATGCTGCTATAAAGACACATGCACACGTATGTTTATTGTGACACTATTCACAATAGCAAAGACTTGGAACCAACCCAAATGTCCAACAATGATAGACTGGATTAAGAAAATGTGGCACATATGCACCATGGAATACTATGCAGCCATAAAAAATGATGAGTTCATGTCCTTTGTAGGGACATGGATGAAGCTGGAAACCATCATTTTCAGCCAACTATTGCAAGGACAAAAAACCAAACACCACATGTTCTCCCTCATAGGTGGGAATTGAACAATGAGAACACATGGACACAGGAAGGGGAACATCACACACTAGGGCGTGTTGTGGGGTCGGGGGACGGGGGAGGGATAGCATTAGGAGAAATACCTAACATAAATGACTAGTTAATGGGTGCAGCACACCAATATGGCACATGTATACATATGTAACAAACCTGCACGTTGTGCACATGTACCCTAGAACTTAAAGTATAATAAAAAATATATATATATAAAAAGAAAGATTTCAAAGCAGTCATTTTTAACAATTATCTTCTTAACTCTTTAAAAAGGTAGCTTGTCTATTGTTCATTATTAAAACTTCACCTTTACATCACATGGACATATTTTGCATGGTTATTACTTTTTAAAATTATTTGTTAAGTGGCATATTACCAAATGCCACATGTTCCAGGGAACAAGTCAGCAAATTTAAAACAGATGTCTTCCTATAAAAGAAAAATGCACCACTCACCTTTAGTTCAACAACTGTTTCAAAACTTTGACGCAGGATAACGGATGCATCCCTGGTTGTGCAATAGATTTCTCTTGCTCACTTCCCACACCATTACTGAGCTATTGTAAGGGCTCGATTATATTTTTAAAATCTTCTTAAAATTGAATTACATCAAAGACTTCCAGCGGTACTTTGTTACTCCTAGCTTTGATTTTGCTGCAATAGCTTGCCTGTGAACAATGAAGTGAATGGAGTGAAAGCATGTCCGTAATTTTTTCTCAAAATATTTTCTGTATTCCTGTGAAAATAGTTGCTCCATTAATGTAGTAATGTAAATTTTGTGGGGAAAAGACATTAACAAATTACAGAATGTCAACGACATATCTTGTATAATACATCTTTATTTCTGTGGTGCACAAAAAATAGTTTTGAAGTATTATATTTTTGAAATGGAATCTAGCAAGTACTATATGGTAAGTCATATTAGAAATATCTACACTTTCATACAACTTTATAGAAAATATCTGACAATGTGTAGATTATTGTCCCAAGTTCTGGTTTCTTCAAATTTTTAGCTCTCTGTTTACTGTTTACTCACAGGGGAGGCATATTCTGTCTCTATATTGTACATGTTTCAGCTAATTTTTACCAAGGAGGAAAAAATAAAGGTTTCCTAGATAGTATGTGGCTTTTATAATTTTTCTCACAGTGAGGAACCTTCAAAAGGCAATTTTATGTCTGCCATGAAATTGAGCTAATTTTGTAAAATTAAAGTGACTTTTAAACATGGCTAAAAAATTTATGGAGCAGTACCTTCATGCTCTGAGTGCTTGGTTTTAACATGTCTTACTAATTGTGATGACTTCATACTATCATTAAAAAAATCTCAAGGCACACTATATAAGATTTATTATTAATGGTAGTAAATGTAAGTCCATATTTCAAATGAACTTCTTGATCATTTTAAACATTTTAGTCTACTTCTCATTAGGTATGATTATGTTATTATGGCAGTTTTCAATGGCTGACAAAGAGCTTATACAGAGGATGGGATAAAAGTCAGCCTTTCAATTTCCCTATTCTCTTGGGCTTGTGCGATTGCTGTGTTCAATATGTGGGGTGTTTTGCCTAAAATTTTTTGATCCACTTGTGTATTTTGTGAAGATTAATTTGGTTAAAACTAAATAATATGATATATAAATCCACCTAACTATATACATGCATACTGAAGCATGTTTTAGTATTCTGAAAACAAGGTAAGTTGTTTTCAGCAAGTTGAATAGCATTCTCCTTGCCCCCAAAGATACGTTCACCTAGAACTTCAGATTGTGACCTTATTTGGAAAAGCTGCTTTGTAGACATAATTAAGATAAGGATCTTGAGATGAGATCATCATGGATTGGATGGGCCTTAAATCTAATGACAGATGTCTTATAAGAGACAGGAAAGAAGACAGAGACATAGGGAAGATGGCCATGGGAAGACAGAAGCAGAGATTGGGGTGATGTGTCCACAAGCCAAGGAACACCAAGAATTGCCAGTAGCCACCAGAAGCTGAAAGAGACAAAGGAAGAGTCTTCCTTGGAGTCGTCAGGAGGAGTGTGGCCCTGCTGATATGTTGACTTCAGACTTCTAGCCTCCAGGACTGTGAAAGAATAAATTTCTGTGGTTGTAAGCCACTAAGTTTGGATAACTTTTAATGACAGCCCTGGGAAACTAACACAGGCCCAATTCTCCCCTCTTTTGTCCTGTGACTCTTACTCTTCAACCTTCTCACTCTTCCCAGAGGGTACCTGAATACTGTAATACTGTACCAGACCGATGGCCACCTGATATGGGCTCTGAGCAAGGTAAGAATTCCAACCCATGTAGTAAATATCGGTATCTAAATATATATTAAGAGAAGTCTTCATATTGTCCTCACACCGTAAGTGAGTGATCTTGTACAACATCTGGTGTGCAATCACTCCACTTTGAAAATCACTAGGGAGACACTGCTAAAATTTCAAGATGTATCTGTTTGAGCCTTTCCTCAAAAGTTCTATCAGATAATATCCTAAGGCCACACAGCAGCAAGTTGTTGTTCTTTAAAGAGCTGAGAAAAATAGGATGTGGGGAAAAACATGGGACCAAAACATGGTGTTTGCAGAATGTGGAGCAGGGGACATGGACCCTTAAGTTAAAATCATGGCCCAGGATATGGCCTAGCCTATGTATACAAATCACTAACATAGCTCTTCAGCAGTACACAATCTAATCTTAATAAATTTGAAAAAAATGTTTCTACCTCTTTTCAGATAGAATTATGTCATTACTGCATTTTATTTTATTTTAATTTTTTTTTAGAGACAGGGTCTCACTCTGTTTCCTGGGCCAGAGTGCCATGGTGTCATCATAGCTTAGTCTCAAACTCCTGGCCTCAAGCAGTCCTCCCACCTCAGCCTCACAAATAGTTGAGATTACAGGCATAAGTCACTGCACCCAGCTCATTATTGTGTTTTAAATGATTGCAATAGTATCAAGTGCTTATTGTAAGATACAAATGATAATAAAAATGTAAGACCTATGATATTATAACTTGGTATATTTTCCACCCCTTCCCAATGTGTTTATTTTTAAATGGAGATCACAGTGTTTGTGTGAGTGTGTGTGTATGTGTTTATATATATTTTCTGCTCTTGTTCACTTATTATTTTGTTGTGAGAATATTAACATGGTTGTAAGCTATGTTATGTACTGATCCATGTCCCACTAAAATTCATATGTTGAAGTCCTAACCCTCATTACCTCAGAGTGTGACCTTATTTTTCAATAATAGGGTCCCTACAGAGGTCATTAGTTAACATGAGATTATACTAGTGTAGGATGGGCCCCAATGCAATATGACTGGTGTTCTTATAAAAAGATAAAATATGGACACGGACATGCACACAGGGAGAATGCCACATAAAGATGAAGACAAGGTCAGGAGGATGCTTCTAAAAGCTAAGGAATTCAAAAGATAGCAGGAAACCACCAGAAACTAGGGGAAAGGCTTGGTACAGATGCCTTAGTCTCTTTTACAGCCTCAGGAGGAACCAACTCTGGCAACACTTCACTGTGATTTCAGGCCTCAGCATTCAGAGACAATAAATTTTTGTTTAAACTATCCAGTTTGTGGCACTCATATGGTAACTTTAGCAAACTAAGGCCTGTGATGTGGTGGTTGATGCGTGGATAATAGAGCCAGGAGGCCTGGGTTCAAATCTCAGCTCTACTCCAACAAGCTGTGTCATTTTGGGCATATTAACCTTTCTGTGTCTCAGTTTACTAACATATATAAAGGGAAATAACAATGGTTCAGACCTAGTAGGGTTGTTATAAGGATTGAGTCCATAGATGCAAAACACTGAAATAGTACCTGACAGCTAGTGACCATTAAGTTGTTCTTATGTATTATTCCACAAAAACATAACTGAATATATTTTGTACATGAACCTTAACTTATTAATCATTCTCCATTTCTAAAAAATACTGTAAATATCACTGTAATGAACACAGTTGTAAGCAGACATTTTTTTCCATTAGGCCAGATTCCTAGATGTACAATCTTAGGTCAAAGAGTATTGGTATTTTTAAATCTCTTGATATATGTTGAAAAGTTCCTGCTTTGAACAGCTGTATTTTAAAGGGATCTCCTCATTGTACCTTGACATCATTAAATATTACAATTAATTGACAACTTTTGCTCATTTCACAGAATTATCCATTATATTTTTCTTTATTTTTATTACTTACAATGGTAGTAAGATTGAACAAAATCTATTTTTTTAGTGCTGACAGTTAAGTGACATGTATTCAAATGCTGAAAAAGAAATTTTGTTATCATGAGAAACACAACAGAGCTTGTCTTTAGAGAGGAGTTAACGATCTTTGAAATTATTTACTCCAACCTACTCCTTTCCCCTATGAGAAGCTGGATTTCATCACCTCTTTGCTAATAGAACTTAGTTTTCTTTTCAATTTTGTCACTGGTAGCCTGCAGAGCTTCTTTCTACTCTAGATAAATTGCTAAGATGGATCTACAAATATTTTGAAGTGACACATTTTCCATTCACTGAGCAACAAAGGCAGGTTATTAGTACAACCTTGCAGAGGCTGAAATACCATTGCAGTAGGTCTTTGGGATGTGTGATGTGCCAGGACTTCTCAGGTGAAAAGAGGCTAAGAAAAAAGGTGGGGAGAAATGGGCCGGTGTGTAGAGTCTGCAAGGACAAAAGCCTATTAATCAGTGCGTCTATGAATAACAACCTGCTAATATAGTATCATGGCTTAAAATCAACCATCTCACAGACAGTGTGTCTCAAAGCAATGCTTTGTCCTCAGTGCTAGCTTGCTGAGTAAAATTTGTCTTAAAAGGTACTGACTGGCTCACGCCTGTAATTCCAGCACTTTGGGAGGCCGAGGCGGGCGGATCACGAGGTCAGGAGATCGAGACCATCTTGGCTAACACGGTGAAACCCTGTCTCCACTAAAAATACAAAAAAATTAGCCGGGCGTGGTGGCGGGCGCCTGTAGTCCCAGCTACTTGGGAGGCTGAGGCAGGAGAATGGCGTGAACCCGGGAGGCGGAGCTTGCAGTGAGCCGAGATCGCGCCACTGCACTCCAGCCTGGGCGACAGCGAGACTCTTGTCTCAAAAAAAAAAAAAAAAAAAAAAAAAGTACTGACAATTCAGTGATAAAACGACCTGTATTTTTTTCTACTCAGTAGTTAAACAATTAACTGAAATAAAGATTAAGGAAGAAGTATCTTGTGAAGATTCTTGCCGCCATGAGGGGCAAGAATTTTCTAGGAGATTCATCCCCTCAGAACACAGAGTTGCAATTCCTACCCCATGAGGACGACATGAGCACTATCTCTTTCTTTGTCTTTCAGCTGACCACTTACTATACCCTTTCACACCCCCAAGATTCCCCGAAATCCACCCCTCTTCAGAATTATTTTAGCCCTTTTGGATGGAGACCCTTCCAAGGTGTCTCCAGACGAGCTTCCTCTTGTCTGGTCCATGTGTGTATTCACTTTCAGCCCCATCTTCAGTGAATATGCAGGTTACTCCCAGGACAGTACCCTCACCCTGGCTCACTAACATTCTCTTACACACACACACACACACACACACACACACACACTTCTCCTTCCCTCCTCTACCTTGGGCTGGTCTAATTTTAGCATCTCATACTAGTTCTTAAGCTCCACAAACCCTAGGGTCACCTGTCAAGCTATCTGATGCGTTTCCTTAAAGTACCTCTCAATTGGCTCGGGTACAGGGAAACACCTCCCCTTGGATGGAGGTGGCTCCACAGCACTCTTCAAACTCCAAATGAATTTCAGCCTTTCTGTAACTGGACATGAGTGATCTCTAATTCTTAATGAATAGGTTTTTACCATCTCTTAGCTCATTCTTTTAAGTTATTTAGCAGCTTTCTGTGGGATCTAGCTATGGGTTTACTTTTGCAGTGTTTCTCAGCCTTTGGAGCTAAAAGGAAATAAAGATAATCACATTTATTATTCTGTTAAACCAACAATTAAATTAAGGCAGAGTAATATTTAATACATTGATAAAAATTCTAAACATATTTATATAAACATATCTGTATGTATTGAGGGTACATTCTCAAAAACAAGACTTTATCCAAAAATTTTAGCAACACACTGGTCTATAAAACCCTATGGATATGTGTAAGATCAGCTGTGGGAAGACTATTATATTGAGTGGGCAGGATGTGTTGATGACCTACACAAGGGACCAAAAATGCCTGTGAAGAGAAAAGGATGACAAAATGTCCAGGACTTGGAGATCGATTAGATGCTGTTATGACTGAGTTGTATCCCCCGGCTCCAATACATGCAAGCCCTAACCTTTAGTACCTCAGAATGCTACCGTATTGAGAACGAGTCTTTAAAGAGGTAATGAAGTTAAAATGAGGCTGTTAGGGTGTGCACTGATCCAATGGGAGTAGGTTTTTCTAAGAAGAGGAGATTAGACCCCACAAGAGCCACTAAGGACGCATGTTACATAGAGGAAAGGCCATGTGAGGACACAGTGAAAGGCGGCCACTTCCAAGCCAAGGAGAGTCAGTCCTCAGGAGAAATCAAACCTGCTGACACCTTGATCTTGGACTTCAAGTCTCTAGAACTATGAGAAAATAAATTTCTGTTGGCTCAACCTCCTAATATGTGATTTTGGTTATGAGGCCCTGGAAAACAAATATAGATGCCCAGTGTCAGAGAATGGAGAAGGTGCTTGGACATTGATTGACTAAGATAAGAATTGTATAGTGGCATCATATATATGTATGACAGTCTTGGTAGGGAGATTCTTGCCTTTCCCTTTCCCTGCTTATTTGTCTTAAGTATCATTTACTTATCAGTCAAAGTTCAAATAAACTAATCCACAGTTCTATGCTGATGGAAGATAAGGTCAGAATGTATTAAACAGTATTTCAGAGCAAGTGTCTTTGAATCAGAAAAACCTGTTTAGATCCCAGCTACGCCATTTTAGGCAAGTTATGTAACCGGTCTTGCAGACTGACCAAAACCAACCTGCAATTCTTTGGTTAATGCTAATATCCTCCATTATATTAATTAACACAAAATCCTGGTTTTGTTCAGAGATAAAGATAATTGAAGAATTTAGAGTATCAGCTTCTGAACTGTGGATTTCGATTAGTCTTTCAAAATGCTGACTAAATTTGGCATTTGTTTTCCCAATTAAATACTTCAGATGTTACTAATTAAGGGATAAAATAAAAGTAAATATCAGATATTTGCAGCAGGTCCTTGAGTAGCATTGTTTATTTCAACAGTATAATGTTGATGAGAAAAAAAAAATAGATCTCCAGCCAGGGCCACTCTCTGTGTGGAGTTTCCACGTCCTCCCCATGTCTGCACGGGTTTTCTCTGAGTACTCTAGTTTCCCTCCCACCATACCCTCAGAGGTAGACATATTTGGTTAATTACCATGTCTAAATGGTCTGGTCTGAGCAACTGTGTGTGTGTGTGTGATGGGATGGTGTGCTATCCAGGGTCAGTTCTCACCTTGTACCCTGAGCTGCCAGGATAGGCTCTGGCCACCTGCAACCCTGCACTGGAATAAGCGGGTTGGAAATAAATGAATGAAGAGACATTAGTGCCTAGTAAAAATTCGTAAAGTAGAGGGTAATCTTACAGGCACAACAATAAACAACGCAGTGTGAAAGCACTCAGGGACCTTCCATTTTTTTTTTTTTTTTTTTTTTTTTTTGAGATGGAGTCTCGCTCTGTCGCCCAGGCTGGAGTGCAGTGGCGGGATCTCGGCTCACTGCAAGCTCCGCCTCCCGGGTTCACGCCATTCTCCTGCCTCAGCCTCCCAAGTAGCTGGGACTACAGGCGCCCGCCACTACGCCCGGCTAATTTTTTGTATTTTTAGTAGAGACGGGGTTTCACCGTTTTAGCCGGGATGGTCTCGATCTCCTGACCTCGTGATCCGCCCGCCTCGGCCTTCCAAAGTGCTGGGATTACAGGCGTGAGCCACCGCGCCCGGCCCCATATTTGTTACTGTTTGCTTTTGAACTGCATGGTGGGAGGAGGGACTCCTGACCATTTTCATTTTGCAAACACTTATTCCTGGATTAAACCCGCCATCACTGATTCACCAAAAAATGAGTAAATAATTATCTTGTTTGTTTTCATTAATCTTTTATATGTAGATATAGTTCACATTTATTTCAATGTATAATGTTGGAAGTATGTTTAGTCTTTATTTAGAAGTTCGCTGATGGTTTTGTGACCAGAAATATGCTGTACAAATTTAATTCCTCTTTATATCAATTAGCCTATGGTAAAATTGTTTTCATTATACATCATTTCACTTAAAGTCAGTTTCCAAGAACCTATTGCCATTAAGTGAGAACTTACTGTATATCACAGTGTCTGTGCTGAAGAATTTTAAGATAAATGACATAATATAAAACTCTCTGAGTTCACCAGCCCATTTTTAAAATGAAGTAATTTTACCAAAGCCACATGCATAATGCAAAGATTAAGGTAAATCAGGTGTGGAAAGCATTGAGCTCCATTTCTGGCCAACACTAGGAACTTAAAAGTAGTTATTTTCACTGCAACGTGACATGAATAAGATGGCTCAACAAAGAAAATAGCCTACAAAGAAAATAGCCTCCACTTTGCTGCCAAACCAATAACTAGTAAGTCTGATGTGGAAATTTGCTGGTCGGTTGCAAACATTTTGGTGACCTACAGATTATATCAATTAGGTTGCCATATAGAACTGTCATCTTGCTCTGGTTTTGCCAGGGGTAGGGGCTTACCACATAGATTCTTTATTGTTGAATCTTAAAATATTTTATTAATCAATTATTTGTATAGCTTTTGTTGTAATTCATCCTTTTTAATTCAGGGAAGCAATTTTCAAGTTTCACCTATTTCTGCTAAGAAGTATATATCTATCAAAAAATATCAGACTAATACTTTTGTAGATTCGATTTTGAATTGTGGACAATGTACATATGAGTTTTTTGTCACTTTTGTGCAACAAAGCTGAGGGTTAAGAGAGAATTTGAGATTTGACACAGTCCTGTGTCCACTGGACCAAGAGAGACTGATTCAGGGTGTTAAATTCCATTTTACCCCTGAGGGCATATAAAGTATAATTTAGGATATTGTTTGAACTCTGAACATACATTTTCAATTTGTTAAATTGCTTCTTTTCTCCTTCATCATTAACATTTGTCAATGTCTTGCCATGTAAAACTGAAAAATTGGAAGAAAATACAGTGTAGAGTAGTAACTTCCAGAAGACCTGTGCCTACTATAAGATGTCAACTATTTAAATGTAAACTGAGAAAGTCATTCAAAATGTGAACATTTGGACAGTGTGATAATCCTCTCAATACCTGGAAACATTCTAAGTGGACTAAGTTGAAAGAAGGGAACTGATATGATTACAACTTGATTTATAAACAACGATTGATGTTTCTCTTTTCCAAAACTGTAATTTAAGCAGGAAAACATGTTGCCTTAGCCACTGCCATATCCTTCAGAAATAAGAACAGCTGTTTTGCCAACAGTGTGGATTTCTTTTTCTATAGTGTTAGTAGCATAAATTTTTTTTTTCTTATTTTGAAAAGACCAGCTGTTCTGTTGTTTTGGGAATATTCCCATATGTTCTGAATGGGAAAAAATAAATGAAGCCAAACCAAATGACTTCATAAAAGAAACAAAGCTTTTCAAGACTTTCTCAACCAGAAAGTTTATAATTAGAGTGTTAATTTCCTGGGGGGAGTTTTTGCTTCTTTGTGTAACTTAAAGGACAACATTTTTTACCCATTCTTTCATAAGACTTTGTTTTGTACTTGGAATTAATAGTCCAACAAGCCAAAAATAGTTCCCAATGGTTGGCTGAAAAGCTAATTTGAGAGCCACTATAAATGTATTAAAACATGAATTACATGAATTAGTACTCAAAATCAGAATCTTACAGCCCATCAGAGAAATATGTAAATCTGCTTTACAAATGACTAATTTCATATTTGTATTTAAGCTCACAGGCACTGCTTTGGAGACGTCTGTCTTATGAATACTAATATCTAGTCTATCTAAAGGAGAACAAACAGAAACTTATTTCCTAAGAAAGCCCTCCTGAGACACTGCATGGCCTACAACTTGTGAATCAGCTGGAAGAGTCTGGCACATAAATCAACCACCATTTCTCACGCCTATAGTGACATCTTCCATTAACCTGTAGAGTCTCTCAAGGTTATTTGTGGCAAGAGAGAAGTTGCAACCCCTTTTTTTCAGGCCTGGACCACTTACAAAGTAGGCTGACAAATGGATCCATATGGGTGAACATGTGTCAGAACTTTCCAGGAGTGCTGGGACTGGAGGTGACCTCCCCACTTGGGAATTGTACATGGTTTGGATCTAATGTGTATGTTTTAAAAAATTGGATGAATGCTTAACCTATACTTAAGGAGGAAACTTAGCACAGAAAAAATAGGTGATTTAGACGTTTTTATCAAGACAGTAGAAATGAAGGACTTCTGGTTTCTAGTTCTGACTCATAGTGTCCTCTGAGCTGTCATTTTTAACCCACAATGTTTCTGCATCCCCTCTGTCTTTTGCAGACTTTCAACCTTCAAGAGTCACACTTTAATTTATATTGTTTGTGTTGTAAAAATAATAAGTATATTAAACACATGTAAAATACATACACATTCCTCTCCTTCTCGCCAATATTTATATATGCACAGAGGAATTTTCTTCACCATGGCTTTGCTCTGACTGTATGAGAATCAACATCCAAGTGTAAGAGATCTGTTTATATAGTCAGACATATCACTTAAATCTGATTTAATTTGGGAAAACATATCTATTTATAGATAGATATCTATTTATATCTATTTATAGATATCTATTTATATCTATTTATAGATAGATTTCTATTTATAGATATCTGTTTTCTCTGGGTATGCTAGTTTCCTCCTACACCTTCAGAAATGGGCATGTTTGGTTAATTGCTGTGTCTAAATGGTCCAGTCTGAGCAACTGTGAGTGTGTGTGTGAGTACACCCTGTGATGGGATTAAATAATGTAGTTTAATGGTTAATGATAATAATACTAATTAATAATAATAATGACATTGGCTGACACAGAATGCTATGTTACAGGTGCTAATGAATTGTAACATTTTATGTTGTCAATAATCTTTCATAACAGGTTTTTGTTTTGAGTTTTGCATAGATCAGGTAACTAGAGCCCAAACAGGTTATCTTTCTTAAGGTCACACAGCTAATGAGAGAGAAGCTAGTATTAGAAGCCTGCTTTGCTTAACTTCAAATCCAAAGTCTTTATTATTTTCATTGCATTATGCTGCCTTCTTGGCTAGGACCTACCTAGGCACAATGGGGAGGAATATAGCATTTTTATTTCAAAGATAAAGGTTAAGTTTTCAGTACAATAATTTTTTTCTTCATTTGTACATTCATATCTTTTAAATCTCCCTCCCTTCTACCACAGGTATCTAGTTCCTTCATGCTACCACAGGCCCTGCCACGTATAAAGTTATTAATTGGTTATTTTAAAGATGGAAACATTTATGACAATTTTATAAGAATATAGGGAATGGGCAAGGCTTATGCAAATCAGTGAAGTGTAAGTTACAGAATTTTCATTATCGCTTTAGGTTTTAGGGGAACTGGATATTTGCATGAAACTGAAACACTCTAAATATTATCTCTTGACTAATTCCCTTCATGCAAGGATGACTGTGAGGGCGTGGGCTCACCTGGAAAGCTGAAGCTAAACTATCATTCCTCACCACACCCACACACCCACTACCCCAATATCAGGCTGAAGATTTGCTGAATCTGATTTCAGTTCAAATCCCAGAAAGTCCTATGCTTGTAAGCATTTCTATAGAGTACAAAGCATTGGTTTTTATTGCAAGTGCTTCTAAAAAGGTGATGTGAGTCAGAAGAATAAAAGGATGGTTGCACTGTAAGAATTAAGTGTTCTGGATGCAGTGAGACCATTCTTTGCATAAATATGACATTTACAGCTTGTGTTTCCTATTAGGCCTTCTCATAGCTAGGCTTTCTCACAGCTTTGCTTTTTTTAAAAAGCAAAGTTGAGGCTACTTTGCTTTTTAAACATACTTTGTATTCTTAGATAACTGGTTCCAGAACATAATCTAGTCTTATGGACTATGTGTGTGCGTGTGCATATGTGTTTGTGTGATACATGTGTTTGTATGTGTATATGCGTGTGTATATATACGTATATGTCTCAGGGATAGGGCTTTTCCTCAGCCTGCCAGATATGTTACAATGTGTAAAGCTGACATGCTATTATTCAGTGATGAAACAGTATGAATATTTTGTATGGGCTTTTACACCATTTAAGTAAAATATTTTGTGTCTTTCAAAAAATTTTGAATTTATTTCAGAGTGAGAACTGGTAAAAAGTTGGAAATGGCCAACCGTGTCTTTTACACTAGACAGTGCCTCTCATTAGCATGGCTCCCAAATAAGTCATTATCTAAGAAGTCCGTATTATTAAACAAAGTAGAAGTGTATGTCAACAATTGTCAAGAGTTTGAGATTTTATTCTACTGGCAACCTGACAAGTTATCATGCCACAGTTTTATTGATGCCCTAAGTTGTCTCGGGTTGCTATAACAAAATATCATAAACCAGGTGGCTTAAACAACAGAAATTTATCACAGTTCTAAAGGCCGGGAAGTCCAAGATCACAGTACCAGTAGATTCAGTTCCTAGTGAGGGCCCACTTCTTGGTTTGCAGTTTGATGTCTCCTTGCTATACCTTCACATGGTAGGGAGAGAAGGAGCTCTGGTCTCTTTGTCCCCTTATATGGAAACTGTCTTAGTCTGTTTTCAGCTGCTATAACAGAATACCACAGATCGGGTAATTTATAATAAACAGAAATTTATTGGCTCATGGTTCTGGAGTCTGGGAAGTCCAAGGTTGAGGGATCAGCAACTGGATAGGGGCTTCTTGCTGTGTCATCACATGGCAGAAGGGTAAACAGAGGGCAAGAGAGTAAGAGATTGAACTCATAGCTTCAAGCCCTTTTATAATCAACATTAATTCATTAATGACGATGGATCTCTTATGACCTAAACACCTCCCATTAGGCCCCACCTACCAATACTGTTGCATTGGAGATGAACTTTCAAACACATGCTTTTTGGAGGACACATTCAAACTGTAAAAGGTGACTATCCTATCATGGTCGGGGGCACAAACATTCAGCCTACAGTATGTTGGTAGCATACACAAGTCTCTTGGTATGCTTGTGTATGCTACCACATACCCATATGTGGTATACACAGATCATAGTTTCATACTCAGTTTATTATACAGTTTATCACAGTCAATACCTGTGACAGATAATTGGCATGTATGCCATTGCCTGAGTCTCAGTTCCTGCAAGGTAATATGAAATGAGCCAGATGACACATCCACACACATAGGGGATTGAGTTATGGAAGAGGAATGCTGAATTTAGGGACCAGGAATATTTTATAACGGGCAGTAAGCAAACACACCCTCTACTTTTGAGAAAAGCTTTATCTCTATTTTCCAAGGCTGCTCACTATACAAAGGTTCTTGAAAATATAGTCTTTATCAAAAAGGAATAAGTGCCTATGCTTTTAAGACATACAGAAATGTAAGAGACTGATGGGGAATTATCCCTCAATAATTCATTTTCCTATTTTCCATTTCTCAGTGTTTATTTTTTCCCTTTCCACACTATCTCTCTGCACTTATGACCAAAAGCAACAAAGAATAAAATGTTCATTCTGTTATTTTAAGTCTTAATGATAAATTTGGGCCAGCTTTACAGCTGACATGATAATTTGTACAGGAATTGGCCATTAAGGCTGTCAAAAATAATAATCATGCAAAAAACAATCTTCTGGAAGAAGTTCTCCCTTAGAACCAAGGTTTGAGGATCAAAGAGCACAACCTGACTTGGTTAAAGCCTGACAAATATAGTCAGGAACTAGAGAACTTAGGGCTCAATTTCAGGAGAACAGATTCAGAGTCAAGAGAGGTAGCTGAGCATCTGTAACTGTGGCAGCTGTAACTCTAAAGTAAAGAATTGGATTATACAAGAAACTGCTTAAGGACTGGCATCCTGGATATTTTCTGCTTGGCATTTCCCTGAGGTCCATTTTTCATCCTTTTGGCCTCTCTATCTGCACTGATAAGTCTATCGCTATGAACTTCATTTCCCAAGAATTTCTTGCCAGCTGACTTCCACTGGGAGGCACCAGTAGTGATTGAATGTGGGGAAGAGAGAAAGGTAGGGAATTTCCTTCCCATGCTTTATTTGGGCCATGTTTCTGGAAGTGACCCCACTTCTTCATAAGAGCAGCTCTAGTTCCTATTAGACAGCTCCTCCCCTACAGCTTCAGTTGTCATTAGATTCCAGGGTTTCAAGACTAGAGTGGTAATGGCTTCCAACTGTTGCTTGTGTTCAGGGGCCTCAAAACCCCTTACCCTCCTAGCCCTACCTACACCTCTATATGTTCCTTGAATCTTTCAAGTCTTTTGAATCTTCTGGGTTGTATTCTGTCTCCTGCTGGGATTCTGACTGATATAGCTAGGGAAAAAAGACAGAACCCTAGTCTCAAAGGATCTAAGATAATAAATGGTTACAGAGTGATTAATATGTGTTATTTTAAACCTTATAGCAACCTGATGAGGTGGAAACTATTACTAGCTCCATTAGACAAGTGAGAAAAGTGGGACACAGAAATCTAGCAATTAGGGGAGCAAGAATTAAATTCCAAACATTTGGACTTTAGAGCCTTCGCCTTTATCACTACACTGTAAGACGTATCTCTAAGATTATATTCTAATAAATACTCCCTTGTAAGACAGAGGCTTAGTCCTTGCAATCAGAGGAGGAGGCAGGCATCCTTTCAGGAAGAATAAGGAAAGAAAAAAATTATAATTTCTGGTGTTCAGGATGAGTTTTTTGACTTAAGACTGGTCCTGCAAGTAGGCCTAGATGGAATCAGTTTTGAGGTTAAGACTTCCTAGCTATGGGAATTAAGAAATATGTGGGCAAGGAGTCAGGTGGTCATTACTGTGTCTAGGTTTTAAGCTATAAAGTTGTATTTTTTTAAATATGTTTATCCAAGAATGCAAAAATTAACCATTGAATGCTGAGAGTATTTAGTACTATTTAAAACTACTTTGAGTGTCAACATATTTTGACAGTGCGTTGTACATTAGTAAAATGAACTGAATTGAGTCAAACAGAATGAGCAAAATAAATAGCGTGTACAGTTGGGAGGTTATCTGACTTTCAGATATCTGGCATTATTAACTTTCTAAAACAACAATGAACACAAAAATAAGAAAAAGGCTAATATTTCAAAATATTTAACATGGCCCATAATATATTTAATATCATGTAGTGATTAAACAGAAAACATTGTTCAATTCCCACCTATGAGTGAGAATATGCGGTGTTTGGTTTTTTGTTCTTGCGATAGTTTACTGAGAATGATGGTTTCCAATTTCATCCATGTCCCTACAAAGGACATGAACTCATCATTTTTTATGGCTGCATAGTATTCCATGGTGTATATGTGCCACATTTTCTTAATCCAGTCTATCATTGTTGGATCACATGGACACAGGAAGGGGAATATCACACTCTGGGGACTGTGGTGGGGTCGGGGGAGGGGGGAGGGATAGCATTGGGAGATATACCTAATGCTAGATGACACGTTAGTGGGTGCAGCGCACCAGCATGGCACATGTATGCATATGTAACTAACCTGCACAATGTGCACATGTACCCTAAAACTTAGAGTATAATAAAAAAAAAAATTAAAAAAAAAAAGAAAGAAAATTAAAAAGTAAAAAAAAAAAAAAAGAAAGAAATCTTCCTTTGCTATTTCTACATAGAAAGATAAAAATCATGCAATTTCCTATGATTTTTCATCTCTCATTGGAATTAGATATCTAAATGGCCAGTTTGCTGATCTGTTGATAATTTTACATACTAGAAGTCAGGTTTCAAGATATAGTTTTTCGAGTCAGATTAGGTTAGATGTTTTTAAGATGATGTCTTTGTCAACTTTTCCAAAATTTGGATACATAAAATGCAAAAGGAATATGAGAGACTATTCTTAAATTATAAAAGAATGTTCGGTTACCTGCAGCAGTTTCTATGAGATTGTTTTTGTCCCAGAGCAGCCAGGAGAGAAGACAGCAATTGTGTGGTAAAATAAGACATAATTGGAATTGAGAGTCCAGATTGCTAAATTAGACTTTTTTTTTAGCTTTGTCACTAATTTGTAATTTGACGTCTTTGATGTCATTCTATCTTCCTTGGTTTCATTCCTTGTTCTCTAAATAAAATATTAGGTTTACATAGAACACGAAGCATCCTTAGAAATTTTTATATGTTCAACTACCACTTTTAATTTAAATAAAATGTTAGCTGTTCAAAAAGCAAAAAAAAAAAAAAAAAAAAAACAGAAAACTATCTCACTGGCTTATAATTACAATAGAAGTCAGTTCTCATTGACACCAATGCCTCGAAGCCCTGGAAAAATAATAGGGTAAACAGTGAAAAGGTTGAGGAAAGAATATTTTGAAATATCTGCAGGCTAGTTCATTTCAGAAAGACAACTGGATAGTCTCATTGCAAATGCGATGTGGCCAGAAGAGAGAAGAAAGTAATGAAATAGTTGTGAGAGATTGTGATAAGAAGTGACAGCCAGTAACAGAAATCCTCACTAGGGAGGAGGTGGAAGAAATACCAATGAGCTGAATCCAGCAGCCAGAGATCATCACTATTTTGGCAGGATTACCTCAGCCTCCCCTGACACTTCCCAGGGTCCTATTTAAGATGTTCCAACCAGCCCAGGATAGGAGCCTGTGGTTACTGGCAGCCATGACTCCCATCAAATCCTTCTACATTACCTCCTTTAGGAGGATGCAGCATTAGTCTACTAAAATCCCACCTTGATTCTGCCCTTATAGTCCTAGAAGCTGCTCTGGGGGAAAAATAAAATTTAGAAAATTCTGCTCACCATTTCCTTCTCTTATAGAGTCTCAGTGAATATTTATACCCCCCAAAGTATGAGATTCAAAAGTAAAAACACATTTAATTTTGCTTAACCTAGTCTGTGAAGCTAATTTAACATTGAAGTTTTTTTATTTCGATCTCAAGAACAGTCTTTTGAAAATGCTGTCTCTGCAGAGCACAGACAGGCATATCATGTAGTCACTTGTATTAATCAGAGTTGAGTGATATAAGGAGAGTTTAATAAAGGTGCTACTTGTGAAAGGGTGGGCTAAACTTTGGTAAAAGAACAAGGGAGAGTGAGGTAGAGTCAGACCTCATTTTATTGTGCTTTATTTTATAGCACTTTGTAGATACTGCAGTTTTTACAAATTAAAACTTGTGGCAACCTTGCATTGAACAAGTAAGTCTATTGGTGTCAAAATTCCAACAGCATATTCTCACTTTGTGTCTCTGTAACTCTCATAGTATTTCAAACTTTTTCATTATTATTATATCTGTTATGGTGATTTGTGATCAGTGATCTTTGATTTTACCATTGTAATTTGGGGAGGGAAGCCACAAACCACCTCCACAGAAGACAGCAAACTTAATCGCTAAATGTTGTTTGTGTACTGACTGCTCCGCTGACTCATTCAACAGTCTCTCTCCTTCTCCTCAGGCCTTCCTATTCCCTCAGACACAACAATATTGAAATTAGACCAACTAATAATCCTAAAATATTCTCTAAGTGTTCAAGTAGAAGGAAAATTTGCATACCTCTCATATGAAATCAAAAGGTAGAAATGACTAAGCTTAGTGAGAAAGGCAAGTCAAAAGCCAAGATAAGCCAAAAGCTATGCCTCTTGCATCAAACAGCCAATTTGGGAACCCAAAGAAAATGTTCTTGAAGGAAATTGAAAGTGTAACTCCAGTGAACCCATGAATGATGACAAATTGAAACAGGCTTATTGCTGATACGAATATAGTTTTAGTGATTTAAATGAAAGATCAAACCAGCCACAACATCCTCTTAAACCAAAGCCCAATCCAAGGCAAGGCCCTCTCTACAATTCTATGAAGGCTGAGATCGGTGAGGAAGCTGCAGAAAAAAGTTGGACGATAGCAGAGATTGATTTATGGGGTTTAAGGAGAGAAGTTGTCTCCATAACATAAAAGTGCAAGGTGAAGCATAAAATGCTGTTGTAGAAGCTAAAACAAGTTATCCAGATCCAGCTAAGATCATGGATGAAGGTGGTTATATAAACAACAGATCTTCAGTGTAAAAGAAACAGCTTTCTGTCAAAAGAATTTGCCATCTAGGACTTTCATAGCTAGAAAGGAGAAGTCAGCACTTTGCTGACTTTGAAGCTTCAAAGAACAGGCTGACTCCCTTACTAGGGAATAATGCAGCTGGTGACTTTAATTTGAAGCCATTGCTCATTTACCATTCCCAAATTCCCAGGGCCACTAAGAATTTTACTAAATCTAATCTGTTTGTTCTATCTCTATATAAAACAACCAAGTTGGAATGACAGCACATCTGTTTGCAGCATGGCTTACTAAATATTGTAAGCCCACTGTTGCGACCTTCTGCTCAAAAATAAAAAGAATTTCTTTCAAAATATTACTGCTCATTGAAAATGCACCTGGTCACCTAAAAGCTCTAATGGAGATGTACAAGAAGATAGATGTTGTTTTCCTGCCTGCTAACACAGCATTCATCCCGCAGCCCATGAATCAAGAAGTAATTTTGACTTTCAAGTCTTATTATGTAAGAAATATATTTCTATAGATTATAGCTGCCATAGATGTGGTTCCTCTGATAGATCTGGCCAAAAAAATCGAACACCTTTTGGAAAGGATTCACCATCCTAGATGCCATTTAAACAATTGCAATTCATGGGAGGGGGTCAAAATATCAATATTAACAGGAGATTGGAAGAAGTTTATTCTGACCCTCATGGATGACTTTGAAGGGCTCAAGACATCAGGGGAGGAAATATCTGCAGATGTGATACAAACAAGAAAAGGGCCAGAATTAGAATTGGAGACTGAAGATGTGACAGAATTATTGCAATCTTGTCATAAAACTTGAACAGATGAAGGGTTGCTTCTTATGGATGAGCAAAGAAAGTGGTTTCTTGGGATGAAATCTGCTCCTGGTGAAGATGCTGGGAACATAGTTTAAGTGACAACAAAATATTTAGAATATTACATAAACTTAGTTGATAAGACAGAGGCAAGGTTTAAGAGAGTTGACTTTAATTTTGAAAGAAGTTCTACTGTGGTTAAAATGCTATCAAACAGCATTGCATGATACAGAGAAATATTTTTGTAGAAGGAAGAGTCAATTAACATGGCAAATGTCATTGTTGTTTTATACTTAAAAATTTCCAGAGCCACCCCTGCCTTCAGCAGCCACCATCCTGATCAATGAGCAGCCATCAACATTGAGACAAGATTTCACCAGCAAAAAGATTACAGCTCACTGATGACTCAGATGATCTTTAGTATTTTTTGGCAATAAAATATTTTAAATTAAGGTATGTACATTGCTTTTTTAGACATAATGCTATTGCACCCTTCATAGACCACAGTACCATGTAAATATAAGTTTTATATGCACTAGGAAACCAAAAATTTTATGCGATTTGCTTAATTGCAATATTCACTTAATTGAAGTGATCTGAAATGGAACCTGCAATATCTCTGAGGTATGCTTATACCTGAGCAGTAATATCAGAATCGTTACTTCTGCCAGGGTACTACAACTGCAGTAAGAGAGGTGTATAAAGACAGCTGGCTTCTGAAAAATGCAGCTTACCTGAGGTGACACAGTAGGAAGGAGAGAAGGACATAAGTGCATGATCTTTCTCTCCTCCCTCCTTTTGATCCTGCTGTTGCCTCCACTCTATTCCAGTGGCTGCCTTGCTGGAGAGCAGAGGAGACAAGGTAACTCCCAACACAATCTCTGTAGGGCAGTGTCCCAGGGTGGTAAAGGATGGAGAGCGGCTGTGAGGGGCAGAGAAGATATTCAACACAACATCCTATATTTTCAAGTCAAAACTTCCTATGTCAAAAGCAAACAATCTGTGGAAGTAGTGTTATATTTTAAAAGATGATTACAGAGATTGGTATGGTTTGGATATTTATCCCCTCCAAATCTCATGTTGAAATATAATCGCCAGTGTTAGAGGTGGGGCCTGGTGGGAGGTGACTGCACTGTGGTGGTGGATCCCTCATGAATGGTTTAGCGCCATCCCCTTAGTGATAAGTGAGTTCTTGCTCAGTTAGTTCATGGGAGATCTGTGTTTAAAAGTGTGTAGCACCTACCCCTTCACTCTCCTGCTCCCACTCTTTCAGTGTGAGATGCCTGCTTCTCTTTCTGCCATGATTATAAGCTTCCTGAGTCCCTCAACAGAAGCAGATGCTGGCACCACGCTTGTACTATCTGCTGAACCATGAGCCAAACAAACCTTATTATTTTTTTTAGAGATGGGGTCTTACTCTGTCACCCAGGCTGGAGCAGTGTGGCATGATTATGGCTCACTGCAGTCTCAAATTCCTGGGCTCAAGCAATCCTCCAACCTCAGCCTCCCAAGTAGCTGGTATTGTAGGCCTGTGCCACCATGCCCAGCTAATTTTTTCCTAGAGATGGGGGTTTCCCTTGTTGCTCAGGCTGGTCTTGAACTTGTGGCCTCAAGCCATAAACCTCTTTCTTCATAAGTTACCTAACCTCAGATATTTCTTTATAGCAATGCAAGAACGATCTAACACAGAAATCTTCCCTGGACTCAAGGAACAGAGACATCTTGATGAATCAGTGTAATGTTATTCATGCTTGCTGTGTTATACAACTCAGAAAGGACAGTTCCTGGCAGACCTTGAATCAAATAGAGCTGTTGACTAGCTTTGTTCATCCATGAAGCGAAATGAGAGTCATGCTGTGTTGCATATGAGATCAGAAAATGTTGCTATCCTTGGCTAACTGCTTGCTGAAAAGTATGCAAAAGTCACTTGACTGAACTTTCAGAGCAAATCACGGCACTAGAAGATAAAAATACAATGAGCGTACTTGATGCTATAGGCAAATATTTTGATAAAAACAATTAATTGATCTATTGAGATACATAATGCATAATTACAGTTTATCTTTCGAGTTGTAAAGCACATGTTTCGTCATTTCAGGGAGGCAGTGACTTAGAGTAGTTAAATACAAGAATTTAGAGTCAGACTTGTGTCACTCCTAGCTCTCCTACTTACATGGCAGCACCCACCTGGTAAGCTCATCAATTTCTGCAAGCAGTGGTTCCTTCACCTTTAAAGTGGGCATTGTCACTTTGTTTAAATTACAATCTGATGATAATAGGAGCTAATGTTTTCCAAGCTCTTATTTTATGCTAGACACTGTGCTAAGGACTTTGTGTGCATTTTACCAATAATCTTCACAATAAACCTAGCAAAGTTGCAGTTATTCTTCTAATTTTCAAATGTAGATAATGAGTCACATGCCCAGGTCTCACTGTTAAAATGTGTAAGCCCTTGATGTGTTGCCTGGTAATGATAAGAGCTCAGATAAATATTAGCTACTGAAATTGTTTATTACTATCATTGTTAATATTACTTGTCAGCCTCTACCCTAGAAATCAGAAGTAGACAAAATGCCTTTGTAATTAAGCAAATGTGGTTAGCTTGATCTCGTACATGTGAGAATATTATAGGCCCCCATTAAAATAAAATGTAATGGTAATTATTCTTTTTAAAATGTAATTGTTCTAAAATTTGCTACTTGGGAGATGTCATATATTTAGTTATTTATGGTAATTTAATACATAAAGGGACAAGTTATCTATGTTTTTCTGATTTGTTCCCTAAATTTTATATCCTTAAAAGGAATATTTCAGTACTCACCTAGATTCCAGAGAAAAATAAACACTGTCCAAGCATTGATCTTGAAGATACAGGTTTTAAGAGTCTGAGAAAACACTGAAGATCATTTATTCATTTACTTAGCCATGCAGTTATTAAGCTACTGGTATGTTCTAGGTAGATCAGAGATTATGAAAACATATTACTAAAGACTGGTCATTGGTCTGTTATATAGAAACTGTATGTTAAGACCTACTGTGCTGCTGGATTCTTTGTAGGTAAGCCCCTTAATAAAAGAGAGAACACACTGTTTATTCTAGAAGTTTCAGAATAGGTAAAAGTAAACTATGATGAAAAGCATGAAGAAATCTTCTGCAGTGGTTAAAATGTTCTGTATCTAGATAGAGGTGTGCATAACACGCAGGACCTGCTACATAATTGGTAGGCCCATGCAAAATGAAAACATGGGACTGCTTGTTCAAAAGTTACTAAGAATTTCAAAGTGGCAATAGCAAAGCATTAAACCAAGAACAAGGTCCTGCTACGCATGGGTCCCTTTGCAACTGCACAGGTCTTACATCCTTGAAGCCCGGCCTGGTCACGTGGTGGCATTCGTTAAGTCAGTGAACTAAATCCTTCAGATCCATATGTAAATTATATCTCAGTTTTAAAAAGTTAAAATAGAGTACAATGAAATATAAAATTGAGTGGACAATTGGGGATTGAGGTCTAGTTCTCAAGTAAACCGTTGGTGCAAATTATTTATTCTTTATCAAACATTAATTGAATGACCCCCTCAGACAGGGATATGTGTCTGAGGTATATATGTATGTTTATGGTCTAAGCATAGCTGTTAAACTCAAGAAGCTTACAGTTGGAGGAGGTTTCTCTTTAAGCCCTGGTTTAAAAAATACTTTTGGCCGGCGGCAGTGGCTCACACCTGAAAACAGGCTGGGTGCGGTGTCTCACGCCTGTAATCCCAGAACTTCGGGAGGCCAAGGTGGGTGGATCCCCTGAGGTCACGAGTTTGAGACCAGCCTGGCCAACATGGTGAAATGCCGTCTCTACTAAAAATACAAAAAGTAGCTGGGTGTAGAGGCACACGCCTGTGATCTCAGCTACTAGGGAGGCTGAGGCAGGAGAATCGCTTGACCTGGGGAGGCAGAGGTTGTAGTGAGCTGAGATTGTGGCACTGCACACCAGCCTGGGCAACAGAGTGAGACTCCATCTCAAAAAAAAATACCCTTTTATTTCTGCTTATATACCTGGTCTGTGCTTTGATCTACTCCTCTTTCTAGTTTGCTACTCCTCAGTCAGACCTCAGCCATCCTGATATTACCTTGTTCCTCCTCCAAAGCAGCAATTGCTTGGTCAGTGTTTGTGGGTTTCCAGCAAGTGGCTGCAGTCCCATATCCAAGAGATTGGTGTCCTTGTTTTACTCAGTCTCATCTGGCCAGGAGTCTGCTGTTTCCTGCTGTCACCTGGAACCTCATCTCCCTGCTCAAATTTGAAAATCATGTAATACTTCTAATACCACATTAAAACTTAGGTTGTATTTTAGATAATATATTTTTTGCCCAGAATTCTGTTAAAAGTCAAATATTAAGGATGACCTGGGAAAACCCAGCCTGTCTATGTTTGGAAGGTATATCTTCTAGTAATGTCATTTGATGAAGAGGAATCACAACACATAGGCTTTATGACAATATCCACCATCATAAATGAGATGTGGCTGAAATATGGGTGATAACATCTTCATTTAATTAACACTGGAAGCCAAGATTTCACCACTATACAATAAATCCATGTAACCAAAAACCACTTGTACCCCTAAAGCTAGTGAAATAGTAATAATAATAAATTGAACAAAAGGATAGTGAATTGAGGGTGACAAAGTGTCTACAAGAGGTACATTTATTGCCAGTGGCCATGGAAATGAATGCTGGCAATAATGGAGCAGGGAAGAGACAACCAGGAGTTCAGCCTGCCCTGGTGTCCTATGAATTCTCCATCACAGAGGGACCAACCAGAGGCTGAAGAGACAAACATTTTCTAAAAACAATGTATAGAAATTTTGACTTTTAAGTGGATTCTTGAAGTAAATAACTTTACATTTTTCTCTAATCCAGAAGTTTAATTAGTTTATGATTTCTTGAGGAGCAAACCAATTATTTGGGGAAAAGTTATTTCATTTTTTTAATTCAACAACTGATTGTGCTTAGGTATATATGTGTATAGTCTATAGCTATATACATAACCAAAATTATTCACCAGTTCTCAGTTACCTACAAGACAGCAGCCTTATTTTGAAATATATTACCTAATTTTCCATTTCCTCTTTCTGGACTCCCTTTTTCCATGAATACATTTTTACTAACTTTATGATATGTGGCCTTCAACAAGATCATGGGCCCATTATTGAATGTGAACTAAGACAATCAGCAAGTGTGAAAGTATTTGTTCAAAACGGATTCTTCCTCCATCATAGGCACTGTTTACATCAATTATCTATTTATCTTTTTTATATTCCTGTGCATATTGAATAATTCTTTCAAAAATACTCACATGATATTGTGTGAAAATAAAGTATTTGTGGGATTACATAGATATTCCACAGAAAGGGCAAAACAAGATTCTGGAAATTATAATCTTGATTTCTTTCATTTTGTGTCGTTTACCTTCCCAGTCAAACTTTAGATTTTCAAAGAATTAGGTGGTGTCTTTTTAGCACTGTTTTTATCCATAGCAATGCTTACTGCCAAATGCCAAAAGTGCCTGAGGCAGTACTGAATTCAATACAGTCTCATTAACTGAAGGACTAAGCCTGGAATTGATATTTCACAGGAACTGAGAAATTAAATTCATTTTGAGGTTTACAAGATAATGTTTCAAGATTAACCAATGCTAATTTTGCTTAAATTTTTTGAAAGCTCCCAGAAAAGTTAATTGAGATAATTGATTATCTCCACTCCTCTTAAGTATAGAGAAAATTCCGACTCTTACTGAATAAACTATAAACTACTATGCTTTTTTTCACTCTCAGAAGAATTTGAGTCAGATAGATCAGGAGATATTTGTGAGCACCTAAGTCTAACTGGTGAATTTCTGTTCATCTTCCAAAACCTTGCATAGTGCAGTATACTTTATAAATGATTGATAAATATCACCTACCTGATGGGCCACCCTGTTGTTATTGTTCCTAATAAGTGTTTGTTCTGTGAATATGGTTTCTTTGCAATTACTCTGCTGGCAAAGATAAACCATGGATGTTTAATACCCTTGTTTCAGAAATGGCTTTGTGATTTCAGTTTGGGATTAAAATAAAGTTACTCCTTTTTTAATACAATACAAATATCTATAGGCCTCACCAGTTTGTAACAATTCCATCAGTTGAATCTAAATTTCACTGGCTAAAGTTTTGTACTATATTATCGGGCATTCCAGCCCTGCAAAGTTCTACCCAGATATATCTGAGATTCTTCAAGGATATTTTCCATGTACCCCTAAATGAGTCCTGCTTTTTGCTGCTGCCTCTGTTGTCACTGCAGAAGGCCTGCTATGGGTAGTCTCAGCAACAGAGACACACAACCTGTTGATTTAGGATTCAATAGCACCACTGTCCTTGCTTCTACTCTCAGATCTAGGGATCTTCAGTCACTGATGCCATCTAACTGAAGGCACACACTTACTGCTGTGGATGCTAGGCAGGGCTACAACACTTACCTCTACTGAACAGGACCCACTGCCAGAGAAGGCAGCCAGCCTGATGGCTCAGGTCATCAGTGCTCTCATCCCACCCAATTCTTCTGCTACAAAGTGGGCATGGGAATGGCATTCCTCCTGTAGAATATGTTTGGTTATGGAGATTCCTTAGCAAGGAACTTAGACTCCTAGGTGTTAAGTAGTGGGATAGCTCCTTTAGTTAGCAAAAATGGCCCTTTTCTCTTTCTGGTATATCTAAACCAACGCAGAGGCTAGGTGGGAGAGATTACAGTATTAGCTGTGTATCTGAAACTACTTTTCCTTTCCAACTCTGCAAATTCTCCTCAACCTTCCTATATTTTGTCCTTGATATTAAGTCTCTCTCAAGCCCCTGCTGACTCTACTTGAAATTTGACTTCTATTAGTCACTCTTTCCTGTGTCCTCAGTTTGCCAGACACGTTTACGTATGATCACACTTCAAAAGCTCCCTGGCATCTGTGTAAATCAATTAGATATGGGGTGGGGAAGTATTTTGCAAAGGTGTCATATAACTAAAAAATTCTAGTCATAACTATGCGCTACTGGGATGGACTTTAGATGTGGAAAGATGTGAAAATGTGAGTGCATATACTCTTTGATTCTTAGAATTTCTGGGTGTACAGGGGTAACTGAAAAGTTCCCTCACGTGATCCTGATACAATTTTCTGTGATGATAGAATGGAAGTGAAAGGGAAAGGTGGTACCTCTTGCCCCATGCACACTATACCAAAAAATCGCTATCACTAAAAGAATGTCTTATAAATCTCAAGTTGCAAAATAATGTGCCTAACTTAATTGCTCTTGGAGATTAAAGTAGGTTCAACAGTATTCTCAGAATGGATACGAGGAATTTGAAGAGTAAGAGGCTGGGAAACTCTGCTGATAGTTTCTCTAGGGTTTTAGTTTATCTTGGTTTTGTTATGCTCTCTATTCCAGCTCCTCTAAACATCATGTTTTAATTAAATTATATACTGTCTGAGATCATGTCTCAGGTGGGCTTTTATATTTTTCTCATTCTATAGTTTGGCAGGATGACTTTTTTACCTCATTAAAAAAAATCTTTTTTTCTCATTTTACACAAAACAGTTGTAGCTATGTAGTCCAGTTTTATCTTAGCTCTATTGGTCAGCGAAAAATACCAGAATCAGGTCATAAGAGAAGAAGAGGCCAGAAGAGGCCACAGGAGATTGGGCAGTTCTGGAAGCATAAACATTCTTTAGAATATGCTGATAATGGACACATCTGGTGCTTGACTCTGTAGCAAAGCAGAAACAAATTTGGATTTGTTAGTATCATGTGGTGATTTACAAGGTCAGTAACAGGTGAGGTGAAATCACAGAATTAGAGAAACTTAGAGCTGAAAGGTCTTCTAAATCAGTGACTTTCCAACTGTGTTGACTAAAATCTACAATAAGAAATACATTTTCATGACTCAGTATCTACATATGTATATCTAGAACAAACATATACACAAAATACACACAAAATAAAAATGTTTATAGTTATTATAAACAAGAATGTTATTATTATTTATTTGATTCTTGAGTCACTATATTAATTTCATATTCCACATAGGTTTGTAAACAAAAATTAGAAAATATTATTGTAGGTCAATTTGACCAGCCTCTCATTTTATAGAGGAATTGGATATCCCTGGCAATTAAGTGAATTTTACAACCTCTATGGCTAGTGACGCCTGTAAAACCCAGGTCTTCTGGTTCTTCCAGCAATGGTCTCTCCTTAACACCAGTGTATAATCAGTGTTCTAGGGCATTAGTTTTTAATGTTTCTGTTGGACAATACACTTTATAAGGGTTATAATTTTAATCATATAGTAGTTTTAAAATTAATGGACATTGAATTTTTATTATTTAGATAACGATACATGCAAAATCTTTGGTTGTCATTCATATTTAATATCCAGGCAAATGGAACAGGCAGAATCTCAATGTGGGGAATGAAAATAGAAACTACTGCTAAGAACTAAAATTTTGAGTTTCTCATCCTCCATGGCAGTCAGATTTTCTTGATTCTCAGTCAGGCCATTCCGCAATGAGTCAAGGTCCTGCATGGCCTCTAGAGGAATTAACTAGGAAATAGCTTTTACGTGAGTAGCAAAAGGCTTCCTGTTGGAAAGGGGCTTTGAGTATTCCTGACTCCTAACTGGTCTCTTATTAGGAGTTAATGCCCATCAGATAACCTTTCTTGCTTAAGTGCTACTCTGATATTCTCCCTGCCCTTAATGAGTCAATTGTCTAGTATGTAGCATATATTTCAAATTGCTTTCCCAGTGATGGTTATTGAGTTGTAATGAACTCATGTGGTCCCATTTCAACCCAGTAGCACACCTTACAGAACCAATGATTGACCAATTGTTCTGCAAAGTACTGTCATCAGACCATCTGCATCAGACACTAGGTATACATATTAGAAATGCAGAATCCTGAGCCCTGCTACAGATAAACCAAACTGGATTCTCAGAGATGAGTCTGGGAATTCACATCATTTACAAGCTTTTCTTTTGTGCATACTAGCTGATGTTGTAAGTTACATGTGGGCAGGTGCCATATCTGTTTCACTCATTGCTATGGTTTGAAGGTACATGTGTACCTTGTTTTATTGCACTTCACTTTATTGCACTTCACAGATGTTGCATTTTTTCCTTTTCTTTTTTCCTTTGCTTTTTGTACAAACCGAAGGTTTGTAGCAACCCTGCATCAAGCAAGTCTTTTGGCGCTATTTTTTCATTTCATCAGCATGGGCTCACTTTGTGTCTCTGTGTCAGATGATCGTTAGCATTTTTAGCAATAAAGTATTTTAAAATTAAGGTATGTACATTGCTTTTTAGACATAATGCTGTTGCACACTTAATAGACTACAGTATAGTATAAACTAACTTCTATATGCACTGGGAAATAAAAAAATTTTTGAGACTCACTTTATTGACACATTGTCTTTATTGAGAATGAAGAGGTGGTCTGAACTGAACCTGCCATATCTCCAGTGCATGTCTGTATCTTCTCCAAAATTCAGGTGTTGCAACTTAATGGCCAATGTGATTGTATTTGTGATTTGTATTAAGAGGTAGAGCCTTTAAGAGGTGATTAAGTTATGAGGGCTCCTTCCCTTGAAACCGAGATGAAGGCCCTTATAAAAGGCTTCGCACAGTGTTGGGTTAGCTTGCTTTTTGGTTTTCCACCAAGTGAGGACACGGCATTCCATCCCTCCAGAGGATGCAGTAATGAAGCACCATACTGGAAGTGGAGAGTGGCCCTCTTCACACAACCAAACCTGCCAGCACTCTGATTGTGGACTTCCCAGCCTCCAGAATAATAAATTATCCAATAATTACAGGTATTTTGTTGTAGCAGCATAGACTAAAATACTCATTACTCTAGCTCTAGTGACTAGCACATAGTAGACACTTAAGAATAATTTGTTGACCAAACAGTTCTCCTCCTACTTAATTATCTTTAATGTCTGAGGCAACTGATCAACCAACACTTCTGAAAAACTTAGTGAGAGTGTGTGGGCTCTGTCCTTCAATCTTAAGAGAGTCATTTAATACCTCTATGCCTAGATTTGCCTATCTGATAAAATGGAGAAGATACTACTACCTAACCCATCTTTGATTATGAGACTGAATGAGTTAATACATACAAAATGCTTAGAACAATGCCAAACAGTAAGAGCTCCATAGATGTAAGCCATGTAGTTGTTGGTATGTGCCAGACACATTCTTGGATGTTATCTGTTCTAGTCCTTTACCCTATTAGATTATTTTCATAGATGAGAAAACTAGATTAGTGACATTTTTAGTGACTTGTCCAAGTCACCAGTACTTGTAAATGTGGGGCTGGATTCAAACCCAGGTATCTGAGGATGTGAGGCTGGATTCAAACCCAGTTATCTGAGGATGTGAGGCTGGATTCAAACCCAGGTATCTGAGGAGCAAGCAGCCCAGTGCCTTTGACAATACATAGCTGCTCTCTCTCCCTTTCTCTCTAGTTCTCTTGCCACCTTGTTTGTATGAAAAGAATTGTGTTGTTTCCTAAACATTGACAGAATGTTATCAGGACTTGTCTTCCTATAGAACATAGGCCTACTCTACCATTTACGAATTGCTATCTGATCATCACTGCCATGGTATGCAATGAAAGAAAGAAAATTCATACTCATTCCTTTAAACCAGAGTTTCTCCAGTTGCAACAATATTGACATTTTGGGCTGGATAATTTTGTCATGGGCGCCGTCGAGTGCATGGCAGGATGTTTAACAGCATTCTTGCCTTCTACTCACAAGATGCCATTAGCACCACCTGGCCTGTGTGACAACCAAACATGTCTCCAGATATTGCCAAACGTCTCTTGGGAAGCAAAATCAGCCATGATTGAAATCCTGCTTTCACCAGTTCTATCTCATTCTGTCTCCCCCTTTTCAATCACCTCTACTTTGCTGTCTACTGTTGCCTCTTCTCTAGCTTCCCATTCAATCCCAGCACAGACAGAGGCAGTGGTCCCTTTCAAAACATATTTCTTCCTGGTGCCTGAATTCTACCACTAGAAGTTAAAGCGTAGCTTTGAAAAACCTTAAAACATGCAAATCTCTGGAAGAAATTACATGTAATCAATTATTAAATTATAATGATTTAGTCTTATTGAATCAGTTTTTTATTGAAAGTAGATGATAGGATAAACATGGGACACAATTATTTATATATATATTTTTCCAACAGCACTTACTGCAATGTTTTATGTATAGTACATACTTAATAATAGTTGTCGAATTAATGAATAGATGAATAAGTGAGTATTTTAAAGAATTATTAGAAGTGAAGACACTAAGAATAAACTGTTTTTCAAAAAGAAGTGAAGGAAAGCATTGTTAAAAATAATTTTATTTTTTTAAACAAAAGAGGACATCTAGATATGTTCAAATGAGCTAAAAATATATAAACCAGTGGAGAGGAAGATACTATAGATACAGAAAACAGTGATGTACTTGAAGGAGTCAGGTGCCAGAGAAAATGTAACAGCAGGATAAAGTTCCCAATCGGAAGAGTTATCTTTGCAAAGATGTATTTTCGGTGCTTTTCCTCTTTCAGAATAAAAATTATCTGCATTTTGCAAATAAATGCAGATTCCAGAAGAAATGTCACGCATAATTTTCTCTATTTTATTTATGTGTTTTAAGCTTGGAATGGCTTATTTGTTCTCTTACACATGCCACTGATAATTAAGGACTATTCAGCATCAGTCGTTGACACGTATTTGTCTTAGATTTTTACCTGGAACTATTTTTCTTTTTTTTTTTTTTTTTGAGACAGAGTCTCGCTCTGTCACCCAGGCTGGAGTGCAGTGGCGCTATCTCGGCTCACTGCAAGCTCCGCCTCCCGAGTTCACGCCATTCTCCTGCCTCAGCCTCCTGAGTAGCTGGACGACAGGCGCCCGCCACCACGCCCGGCTAATTTTTTGTATTTTTAGTAGAGACGGGGTTTCATCGTGTTAGCCAGGATGGTCTCGATCTCCTGACCTCGTGATCCGCCCACCTCAGCCTCTCAAAGTGCTGGGATTACAGGTGTGAGCCACCGCGCCCGACCTACCTGGAACTATTTTCAAATGTTCGATTTGTAAATTACAGATTTCCCTTTAGAAAGGATACAACCCTAATTTGCAAAAATAGATGATGTGTAATCTAAAAAGCAAAATTCACTGGCTTGTGAATTCATGTTTTAGTTTTTAAATTCTGTGCATGAAAGTAAGCATATGTGGAATGGCTCCTGGTTTCTGTATTAGATGACGACATGTTGCATTGCAAAAAAAAAAAAAAATAGCCCTTTGCTGGGTGGAAATCTGAAAATTTTGAAAGCAATTTATGCATTTGTCTGAGATCAGCTAAATTTAATCTGTCTGACAAGTTACAAATGACTTGTTTAATAGATCAACTGTGTGAGATGAAATGCAAATTAGAAAATGATGAGTGCGGGGTAAATCCTCTGTTCTTTGCCAACAAAAAAAAATGGCTAAGCAGATTTTGATTTATACTTGCTGGACCAATTCAGGATGGGATTAATAATGCTAACAGCAAAAAGGGTAATCCTTTTTTGTTGCTGTTGTTTTTTAATTGATAAGGCATAGCTTGAAAGTGGGTGCTGGGACTGTAGAAAAGGGAACCACTATTTTCCTACAGCTGCAGGATTGAAAGGGCTACAAAATATTAGTTTAGTGGCAAGGTGCAAACTGAATTGGAAGTGGCTACAATTGCTGTATCCACTCTTTTATGGAAGTACCTCAAGAATGCCCACTCCGAAGTCTACTGCTGGCTACTTCTACCAATCCAGCCACCTCTAATGGCTAGTTGTTTGATCTGCAATGCATGGCTAATAATAGAACCTAATTTGTGGAATTTCTGTGAGGGCGAAATAAGGTAACCCATGTAAAGACACAGTGCCTTAGAATAAGCCCTTAGTAAATGTTAGCTGTCATTATTTTTTCTTTTGATGATTAAAAGTAGAAAATATGAAAAGTACAACCCATGCAATGGAAGGAAACTCAGAAATTATTTTTGGCTCTAATTTTATTTCAGAAAACCTGTCTTGATCAATCTCTGAGATTTAAAAATCAAGCAAGCAAACAAACAAATAAACAAAAAATGAGTAGCAGCAACAACAGTGATTTAAAAGCTGAAAGCCTAGACGGGTACACCCCAACCACCTGCAAGCTAAGCTCTCTAATAGTAGGGGAATTTGTCTGCTGCGGGACCTCCTGTACCCCCAAATTGTATGGTTCTATGTTTGTCACCAGTTCTGCATCTCATTTATACCATGAGTCCATTCCTTATACTTCAGAGCACTCTAGACAGGAGTGGTCCTATGACTAGAAGATGACATGGACAGTTGTCTCTGGGACTAGACACAGCAACATGTAGGAGTGGTGGGAGAAGAGTAGGCACTAGGGTTGCATTTTGGGTGACTTATTATTTGATTTTGATTGGGAGCAGGGGCAGAAATATACTGGACTTGCATCATGTTCAAAGCTGAGCAACATCACATTCATTTGTCAATAAATAGATGCTGTCATTAGAATAATGGAAGAAAGCCACCACTCGGGGGCTGACAATTCTGTTAGCCATTGTGGGCAAAGAATGAGCTGTGTTTCCAGAATTCTGCCTTCTGGTTCTGAGTGCAGGCACAAGCCGGGTGATATTGGGAAATTCACAATCTCTCTGGACCTCAGCTTCCTCGCCTGTAAAATAATGCTTCTGACTAGATGGTCGCTAAGATTCCTTTAAAGCCATAATCTGATTATTTGAATGAAAATAATCAGTACACAGGCACCTGTAGATGTAGAGTGGAAATGGGAAAAATAAAGAAAATGTGAGTATCTAAAAGTAAAGGAGGGTATGGAGATGAGAGAGAGAAAAACAGAAAGCAAGCAAAGGCAGGAGCAGATCAACAACAGGAAAGAACACAAGACAAAACAGGCAAATGGTGGAAAGAGATGTGGTGAACAAGCACTATAGCTATTTTGTTGGTCAACAGAAGAATTGATTTAAGAAAAATCAAGATTCTTGTGCCATAAAATATCTTTCTTTAAAGGCCGCACAAATCTGCTAGCAAGCCAGATGCTTGCTGTTAGAGGAAAAGTTAAGAAATTGAGATAATTTCAGTAGGAAATGTGGACACTGAGGAACAGAGGGAGGGGAGGTTTAGGGTAGAGGGAGTGATGCCAAAGAAATGGGCAAAGAAATCAAAGGTGAGGGATGAGGCATTCCTCCTCTCCTGCACAGCCTGGCTTATCGAAGGCTCTGTAGGTCCAGGAGCCCTTCTGTGCCAAATGTTTCCTACCTCTGCTATAGTCAGTTCCTGTAAGTCAAGATGCTTCTTGACTTACGAGGCGATTATGACTCAGCAAGCCCATCATAAGGTGAAAATATCATCAAGTCAAAAATGCATTTAATACACCTAACCTACTACACATCATAGCTGAGCCTACTTTAAATGTGCTCAGAACACTTACATTAGCCTGCCATTGGGCAAATCATGTAAGAGAAAGTCTATTTTATAATGAAGTGTTGAATATATCATGTAATTTATTAAATACTGTACTTGAAGTAAAAAACAAAATGGGTGTATGGTACTCACCATTATTAATGTACACAGTTGAAGGCACTATCACAAAGTCAAAAAAATGTTAATTGAACCATCATAAGTCAGGGAATGTCGATATTTACACATGATGAAAAAAATGGAGGTTCTTTTCTCTGATATTTTTGACTCTCTGAACATAGCAAGTCTTCAAAATTTCGTTTATCCTTATAGAGACCGGGATTCCTAGAAATCAATATCCAGGCATGCCATATTCAGATTTCAACTACGGTCTGCCCCAGCTGCTTTTAACTTAGGATTCTCAGGAAGAATGTGAAAGATACATATTTTGTATTTATGTCTGGATGTGCATCGTAATGGATAAATCTGTTAATTAAGGGGCTTTCAATAAGGCAGGGTTTTATTGTTCCAAAAAACTCTGTGGAATATCCCAGCCAAACTCTCTACATTACGCAACAACAAGAACTACAAAGAAACAAAGACAGTACCAAGTTCTCAGAAGGAATAAGATCAGTACTATTGAGCTGACATTTATACAATATCAGAAATGATTGCTGAAAAACTTGCCTTCCTATGAAGTGCAGGTGTCTGTGTTCCTGGACAAGTGGCTGATGCTCATCATCCAAATGTACAAATTGCAAACACCCTAACTTCTAGAATCTTAAGCAGTTTCTAGCATTTTTCATTTTTATTTTACTTTTTATTTTTTCTAATATATTCTAATACATTAATTTTCATTAATCTACCATGGAAATGTAGTCTTGCTTCAAATGGCATGCATTAGAGAACTGGTCTACGTGTGAAGACCTGCAATGAGAATGACTATTCAGACATTGCTCAAGGTTACTTTCACATTCAATAACCACTAAACTGGACAACTGGTTAGGCAAAGGTTATCTAGCAGAGAAGATTACCAATGAGTGAACAGAACACTCTGATACCTCCTATCTATTCACAAAAGAGTATCCAGATTTCAGTGGTCAGTGCTGCTTGAATTACTGAGAGATTCTCATTAGAAGGGCTTTCGAACCTGGTTTTTAACACAGCACCATATCAGTGCCCAAGGTCCTATCTGTACCGTCTAAGCCTTAGATGCTTTGCTGTGCTACTACTTCCATGTCTGTGATCTCTTTTTACTGATCACTTGTCAAAGTAAATTTCACCATGGCCTAGTGTAAGGTAATAGGCCTTAGAGATAGTCTTGTGAATTTCTGTAATATGTAATGTTGGCTGACTGGTGATATCTTAACTGTCCAGCTGACAAAGATGATTGCTTTTATTAACTCAATAGAAACTCTTATAAAAGTCAAAGTAATAATTTTATATTATTGTTCAATCACCTGAAAGACAAATAATTAAGACATATTCCCTTTGAATTTTATACCTCATTATAAAGATAGAAATGGCTAGCAGGCACAAATCCATGTTTATAGATGCCACCTCTTGTTAAAGTTCCTAGAAATCGGGGCATCAAGGCAGGAAATTCATCTCTACTCCCAAGTACTCTAGAAGATGTCATAGCCACAGCTACCAAAAAACTGTTCTGATAAATTATATTATTATTCCCCAACTTCACTCTCACCCTGTACTTGACTATACATTTACAGCCTTTGCATTACTTCCCAGTAGAGTAGGTGGGGTATACATCCTGCCCCAACGACTTCAGATTTGGTGATGAGCCTTAGTTTGGCTGATGAAATGTTAGCAGATGTCACGTGAACTGAGGTTCCAAATGTGTGAGCATGGTTAGGTGTGGTTTCTTGTCCTTCTGCCATCTAGATGATAAGACTGTGCTTTCGGGAGCCACTAGATCCAATACTAGAGGCATGCAGAGCAGACCTGAACCTGAAGTTGACCCACAGCCTGAGGTAGACCTATCCTGGCCAACCTGCATACCACCCCCCCGAGACAGAAATAAACATCTGTTGTTGTGAGCTACTGAGATTTGGGGATTGTGTATTCGATGGCATTATCATACCAGAACTCTGGCCAACATATCAGAACATTTTCCTTTCTAAATTCTGTTTTCAATGAGGTTTATAAATTCTCCAATCCTTCTAATGAAGGGACATATCTAAAGAGATGTGGGGAGGTTACCTCTGCCACATCTCAATAAACATCAAGGCTTTCTATTATTTTTGCACCAGCCTAATAAAATGGGCTTTAGAAAGAAAGCAGAAAGCTTATTTGATTTGCTCCTTCTTTTCCCTCACACACAAAATAATTTTTAATGCCATACTCAGTCCCAAGGTAAGGCCTGACATATTGATTTGGAAATACAGTTTGGATTCTGCTGCTTTAGACAGCTAAGTACTAAGAATGCAGAAATGTGGAGTAATATTTTAAATCCCTTTTCAGGGTGTAAAAAGGACAATTTGGAGAGTCTCATGCAATTTCTCGTCCTGGAATATCTTGTTGTTTCTGTGTCATGTCTGCATCTCTCCAGCAGACATTGTTACAATCTTTCTTTTTTTTTTTTTTTTGGAGACGGAGCCTCGCTCTATCTCCAGGCAGGAGTGCAGTGGCACCATCTCAGCTCACTGCAAGCTCCGTATCCCGGGTTCAAGTGATTCTCCTGCCTCAGCCTCCTGAGAATACAGGCGCGCCCAGCTAATTTTTGTATTTTTAGTAGAGACGGGGTTTCACCATGTTTGCCAGGATGGTCTCGATCTCTTGACCTCGTGATCCGCCTGCCTTGGCCTCCCAAAGTGCTGGGATTACAGGTGTGAGCCACCGTGCCCAACCATTACAATCATTTTAGCTATGGACACTGACAATTCCTGCCACTGGCTGGCTCAGCTCAATCCAGGTCTTGGAACAGCCCTGGCAAATACAGGCAGTAGGTTAACTAACCCCTACCTATGCCAGAAGAAGGCGCTATAGAGTTAGCCATGTTTCAACCAGTCAGTTTATTCTTTCTACCACACGGCTGTCTTCCCATAAGCACTTTTGCAGCTGGCCCAACTCAGCTGGTCCAGTGATTAAACTGTGTGTGTGGCTGAGCCTTCTGGTTTTCATATGGGATTTGACTACCTACCTACCCTGACACTGATCAGCTTCACTGGAACTCTGCTATCCTCCCTTACTTTTCACATCCTCTCCTCTCAGGGAACCAGACTTTTCTCCATACCTACAGATAGATATGGTTCACTCTGTATAAATTTAGCATCCCAGAAAGGACCCCATCCACCTGACTCTCGGCATCATCCCAAGATTGTACCTGTGCATACGCTGAGGTTCCCTGCATTTCAGACTGGACTTCATCACACCTACAGTGCGTATAGGTTAGAAGGTGAGATATTTAAGAAGGGAATTCATGGCCTGAGTTGTTGGCCACACATTTGGATATCCTACACTGTCCTATAAGGGAATCAGTCATATTGTATTAGGACCCACCCTAATGCCCCTATCTTAACATAATTACTTCTTTAAAGACTTTATCTCCAAATACAGCCACATTCTGAGGTACTAGGGGTTAAGGCCTTAATACATGAATTTTAGGAGGACAAAATTCAGCCCCTAACATTAAATTTTTCTCAATCAAAATAATTTTACTTTTTGCTATTTGATTGAATCAGATTTATTTTGAAGCATTTTAGTTGAACTTCAAATACTGTCATGGGACATGTGATGCTGAGAAAGGAAAGGGACTCTAATAGTCTATATTTCCAGTGATGGATGTCATCTCTTGCTTACTTATTTTGAAGAATTTGCAGGAATGTTTCAATTGGATTCTCATTTCATAGCAATAGGTAGGTGAAAATCATCCAGTAAGTAGTAAACCATGTGTAGTATTTCTTGCTAGGTAATTCAGAAATGGATGAGGAGGAAAGTGTGTGGTGATAAATGAAGTGTGACTGAACACAGGTCTCTTAGCAACAGCATTATTTAAGAGGGAATCAATCAAAGCTTTGGCACTCTCTTCAGTCTTCTGACTAATCTCCGGATTATGAATCTGAGTCTTCAGGCCATGAATTCCCTTCTTAAATATCTCACCTTCTAACCTATACATTTATTCCATCTACGTCTATTTCTCTGCATTTTCTTAAAATCTCAATCTTTAATATTTTCTTACTTGCCTTGCTTTACTATCCCCTTTTCCAAATTCTAAGACTCTTTTTCTTCCCTAACTCCCCTTATCTATTTTTATATATGATTTATACAATATTGACTTTGCTGCATTAAAAATCTGCCCAAAATTCAGTGACTTAAACCAAAATCATTCATTTAGGTCATGAATCTGTGGGTGGAGGTGAATTTAGGCTGGGTTCAGCCGAGCAGTTCTTCTGGTCTCAGATGGGTTCATTCACACACATCTGGTCGATGGGCTGGGGAAACTACATCCTCGTCCCTTTTGCCTCAGCTCATTACCATCTGGCCTAGGTTCCACCCTCCACCAATTCCACAGAAACAGATCCTACAAGAATGCAATGTCCTGTTTAATTGCTAAAAACAATGGAGTGTTTTCAGATCTAATTTTATTTGACTGTACATGAGCATTTGAAAATAATGATGGCCATTCTCTTCTTGACTTACTTTTTCCTTCTTGACTTCCAAGAGTTCTTTTCTTCTCTAATTTTATCTTTTTAGTTTCTCCTCACTTATTCTATTTTTTCTCATCTCTTAAATTCTACTACTTGCCAGGGTACCATGCTCAGAATTTGTCTCAATCTATCCTGTCTCCCCAAGCAGTTGTATTTATTCCCATGGTGCCAATTGCCTGCTGTATTTCAGAAGCAGAGAGTTGAGAGTACAAAGTATAATGGAGGTTCTGTCATGAGGACTGATGGAAACACTATGCCTAAGATAGTTTACAGAACCATATTTTAAAAAGAAGTCAAGGTGGAGAAGCTGAGGGAGGAAGTACAAAGGGGTCACTCTGAGAAAGAAGACAAAATGCAGATCCTGAACATATGAGAATAGTGCATAAGATGAGAGAGGTCAGGATGAGAAGAGAGAGAATAGGCAAGCAGAAAAATGGGAGGGAATGGAGACTCTAGCATGTGTGTGAATGACAGGGACAGGCATTGTTGCATACAGCAGGCATTTACAGAGTTGTTCTCTAGTGCAAGAAGGGCCAGTTTTATTTAAAAGGCCAGATATTTATTTGTCCAGAACAGAGGTATCAAGCATTAACTATAGTCCAGTCTCTGTTCTAGACACTTGGCATATGGCAGTAAAAAAAGAGAAAAACAAACTCTGTGTTATTATATAGCTTACATTGGGTAGGAGGGTGAGGACAGAAAATAAACAACATGATGAAAAAGTGAAAATATATTAAAAGATAATTACTATGAAAAAATATTAAGTAAGAAAAAAGTAGTAGAGGGAATCAAGATTACAAGAGTGTGTTAAAATTTAAAGGATGATTAGGATTGGCTTATTAAGAAGGCAATATTTTAACAGAGTGAGAAGGCAATATTTTAACAGAGTGATATAAACCACAGGACAGAGGGAAGAGCGAGTACAAATGTGTTAGGCCTAAGACCTTAAGAGTTTAGAAGATAAAACTGCAGACAGTATCACAGGAGCCAGAGCTCCCACGCATAGCACACGAAACCATCTGAAACCCCCACATACTCCAAGAAGATACAAAGTAAGCTGACAGTGGGCGGGTGTACCAGGAGAGAGCTTGAGGCTGGAAACAAGAGACCACAGCAGTGCACACAAATCAGCCTGAGGCCTGGGCAAGACTAGGGATGCAAATGCAGACAGGACAGACTCTGACTACCGGCGCAGGTGAAGGCAAAGGCCAGCACCCAGACCAGACCCTCCTTCACAGGGCCAGGATGACATGTAAGCCCTTTAGTAACTCATATTACCTTGAGGCAGTAAAGGGGAGGTGGGCTGAATTTAATTATTCACCCCAGGAGACTAAATTTTAAATGAAAAGGAAACAGTTGTCTCTAATTGGAAACATTTTGTTGGTTTGCATTTTTATTCCTGAACAAAAATTATAGCTCATAATCCAACTTAAATTTATTTTTAGACACATGAAAAATATACTTGGCATGTGAATAGTGTATAGATAAAGAGAGAGGAAACAAAGGGCTAATTGAAAAAAAGTCATTTCAACTTTAAATGATTGAAGGCTACACATCAGCTTGTTAAAAATATAATATTCCTTCATCCATCTGCTATTTATTGAATATTTATTGGGTACCTCCAATATATAAACACTCTTAGATTCTAAGTGAATTATGAAACTTTGGAAGACCCTGTCTTCAAGGGGCCTATAATGTATAGTATAAAAAATTTTGTTATTGGCAACCTATTAAATGGTCTTCGAAAATTTGAAGAGGGGCAGAGACAGATTTGAAGGTGAAAGTTATTATTATTATTATTATTAAACAGCTTTAGGCTTACAGAAAAATTGAGTAAAAGTTACAATTCCCATAACCCCCCTCATCCAACTCCCAGCGTCTCCATTAGTAACATCTTGCATTAGCGCAGTACAGTTTTCACAACTGATCAGCCAATATTAATATGTTATGATGAATTAAAGCCAAAGTTTACATTGGGCTGTGTATTGGGTTTGGACAAATTTATAATGACTGATTATCCACTATTACTGTATCATAGAGAGTAGTATCGCTGCCCTAAAAATCCTCTGTTCCCTGACTATTTACACTTCCTTTCCCCTAATGCCTGGCAACCGCTGATCTCTTTACTGTCTTCATAGTTTTGCCTTTTTCAAAATGTCATATAGTTGGAAGCACACAGTATGTAGCCTTTCTTTTCAGATTGGCTTTTTTTCACTGAGCAATATGCCTTTAGGATTCCTTCATGGCTTTTTGTGACCTGATATCTCACTTCTTCTTATTGCTGAATAATATTCTAATATATGTATGTACCACAGCTTATCCATCCACCTGTTGAAAGACATATTGATTGATTTGACAATTATTTTTTAACTTAGACTTTCTTCTGCTCTATAGCTGAATCTTACTGTTTTCTCATTTAAATTTGGTCATCCCATGTTCTAATTGGAAAATCACTGATATAATATTATATTAAAATTCATTTGATTGCAAGTGACAGAAACCCAAATTGAACTAATTTAAGCAAATTGCTTAATTTACTCCAAGGGTGCAGTGATGATACATGGAGTCTGAAAGCAGGAACAAGTCTGAGCCTTGGGAATAAGTGAAATTTACTCAGGACATCTCATCTTTATTGTGAAAGTAGATTGCATATGTGTAGCTATTAATCATTTATCTACATATACAGTGTAATATATACATACAGAAATGTACATAACAGATTCTTTTCAGTTTTTTTTTTAACAATCCACTGCTTTAGGCAATGGGGGAAAAAAGCTGGTGCAATTTTCTCTTTTGGTACCAAATCTAGATTCCTTTGAAGACCCCCGGAGACCCAGTCCTGGTGCCCTCCTCTGGGCCAATCAACCATGCCATTGAAATAGCATCAAGAGAAGATCACAGCTTGCACCTGTGACCACGCAGGAGTGTTGGACGGGGTTGGGTGAATGGTACATGGTATGTGGTCAGAAGAAAATAATGCATCAAAACAAGAAAATAATGCATCAAAACAACTATGAAGTTTTGGAAAGCAGAATTCATATTTTAAACATAAATTGACTAGAACTATACAAAATAACAATATGGGAGAAGAACAAAGATACAAATAGCAAAGCATTTTCATGATTGCTTTATTTTTTGCTTTTCTAGATTTTACAAAATTTTGTCGCTATTTTCATCATGAAAGAATATATTAAAATTAGATTCTTTCTTAGGCATTAGAATAGTTTCTATTGCAGAAAGTAACTTTACTCAATGCATTTTTGAGATCAATAATTCAGAGCACCATGCTTGCTCTTTTTTTTAGCTTGCTACTGAAAACAGAAGGGTAATTAAGACAATCTATTTTCTTTGAACAAATTTAACTCCCTCCAGTATACACATCTGCTTTGATTTTCTTGCACTTAGTTTATGAACTTGTGATTACAGTCATTTTGGAATGAAGGAAGCACAATAATGATAACCTGCTCACATGGCATCACAATTCATGAACAGCATTTGCTGGCTGATTGATTTAGCAGGTATGGGTAGAAGTATCAATGACAAAGAACACAAATATGTTGTGGTTTTGTGTTTCAATACAGAAAGGCAGAAATGTAATTAGACAGGAAGCAATGATGTAGGAGTAACTAGTCATTTGCCATTATTCATCTATCAATTCAACCAGCATTTACAGAGTGTTCACTATGAACAGTTGTCACTGTCTGTTGAGTCTTTTACTAGTTTGAACTCCCTGAGGAATTGTCCCTGTCATGTGTCATTTCTATCTTTGTATACTCAATATATAATACTGTACTGGCTTCAGAGTAAGGACATAATGAACAAGCATCGAGTTGAACCGAATTGGGTTGTCTGGTTCTGGCAAATAGGGGGTAATTAAAAAGTTCATGGGTTCAGTGACCTCTGCCTAATAGGGCAGGAATTATTGGCAGCAAGTAAGCAACATATGACAGCAATGAGTTGCTACTACATGCTAAGTACTTTTATTTATAGCAATTTTAACCTCAACAACCCTGTGTGTGTGGAAGGGGGGCGGAGGGATTACTATATAGAGAAACTAAGACTGAGAACCTTTTTTTATTATTTTAGATTCAGGGGGTACATGTGCAGGTGTTTTTTACATGTTTATATTGTATAATACTGGGCTTTGAGCTTCTGTTGAACTCATCACTTAAGTAGTGAATGTACATTCAATAAGTAGTTTTTCAACTCTTGCCCCTCTCTCATTTTGGAATCCTAGTGTCTATTGTTTCCATTGTTTATGCCAATATGTACTCATTGTTTATCTCCCACTTATAAGGGAGAACATGCAGTGTTTGATTTTCTGTTTCTACGTTAATTCACTTAGGATAATGGCCTCCAGCTGCCTCCGTATTGCTACAAAGAACATGATTTTATCCTTTTTTATGGCTGTGTAGTATCCCATGATGTATATGTACCACATTTTCTTTTTCCAATCTAGTGTTGATGGACACTCAGGTTGATTCCATGACTTGGTATTGTGAATAGTGATTGAATAAACATATGAATACAGGTATCTTTTTGATAGAATGATTTCTTTTCCTTTGGGTAGATAGAAGTAGGATTGCTGGGTCAAATGGTAGTTCTATTTTTAGTTCTTTGATAAATCTTCATGCTGTTTTTTGTTTTTTGAGACAGGGTCTCACTTTGTCACCCAGGCTGGAATGCAGTGGTGTGATCTCAACTCACTGCAACCTCTGCTTCCAGAGTTCAAGTGATTCTCTTGCCTCAGTCTCCTGAGTAGCTGGGACTACAAGCACACACCACCAGGCCTGGCTAATTTTTATATTTTTTGGTAGAGATGGGGTTTCACCATGTTAGCCAGGCAGTTCTTGAACTCCTGACCTCAAATGGTCCACCCGCCTCAGCCTCCCAAAGTGCTGGGATTACAGGCGTGAGCCACCGTGCCTGGCCTTCATACTGTTTTTCCACAAGGATTGAACCAATTTACATTCCCACCAACAGTGTATTAGCATTCCCTTTTCTCTGCATCCTCACTAACATCTATTATTTTTTGACTTTTTAAATTATAGGTTTTCTGACTGGTGTGAGATGAGATGGTATCTCATTTTGGTTTTGATTTGCATTTATCTGATGACTAGTGATGTTATTCATGTTCTTTGCCCACTTCTTTTTTTAACTTTTTTTTTTTTTTTTGAGACAAGGTCTCACTCTGCCACCCAGGCTGAGTACAGTGGCATGATCATGGCTCACTGCAGTCTCTACCTCCTGGGTTCAAGAAATCCTCCCACCTCAGCCTCCTGAGTAGCTGGGACTACAGGCATGCACCACCACACCCAGCTAATTTTTAATTTTTTTGTGGAGATGGAGTCTCACTCTATTTCCCAGGCTGGTCTTGAACTTATAGGCTCAAGCCATTCTCCTGCCTCAGTGTCCCAAAGTGCTGAGATTACAGGCATGAGCCACTGCACAAAGTCTGCACAGTTTTTTTTTTTTTTTCAACTTTCATTTTAGGTTCAGGAGTACAAGTACAGATTTGTTAGATAGGTAAATTTCATGTCGCAGGGGTCTGGAGTATAGTTTATTTCATCACCCAGGTAATAAGCCAGTACCTGACAGGTAGTTTTTCAGTCCTCACACTTCTCCCACCCTCTACCCTCAAGTGGGCCCCAGTGTCTGTTTCCTTTGTTGTGTCCATGTATACTCAATGTTTAGCTCCCACTTAAAAGTGAGAACATGAGGTATTTGGTTTTCTGTTTCTGCATTAGTTCACTTAGGTTGATTCTGCCCACATTTTAACGGGGTTATTTGTGTTTTTCTTGTTAAGTTTCTTATAAATTCTAGATATTAGTCCTTTGTCAGATGCATAGTTTGCAAATATTTTCCACTCTTCTCTAGGTTGTCTCTTTACTCTGTTGATTCTTTTGCTATGCAGAAGCTCTTTAATTAAATCCCATTTGTCAATTTTTATTTTTGGCATTTGCCTTTGAGGTTTTAGTCATAAATTATTTGCCTACACTGATGTCCAGAAGAGTTTTTCCTAGGTTTTCTTGTAGGATTTTTATGGTATGAGGTCTTACATTTAAGTCTTTAATGCATCTTGAGTTTACTTTTGTATGTGCTTAGAGATAGGGGTCTAGTTTCATTCTTCTGCATATGGATAGGGAGTTTTCCCAGCACCATTTATTGAATAGGGTGCCCTTTCCGCATTGTTGATTTTTGTCAACTTTGTTGAAGATCGGTTGGTTGTAGGTGTGTGGCTTTATTTCTGAGCAAGACTAAGACCATTTTAAATAACTTGTACAGTGGTGCTAGCTAATAAATGTCAAAACTTGGATTCAAAACCACGTTCTTTAAGAATTTGTGTTTAAATTCATTACTGGCTTATATGGCGAGCTTGGTTGGCTTGTTTATGTTTTCGATATAAAGCAGCTCCCATACCTTTGTATACTATCAGAAAAATAATGCCATTGATTTTCAGTAATGCATTTGAATTGTTTTTCTAGTTGGGATCATGAGACTCATTAAAATGTTCATGCTATCTCATTTGTGACCAATAGCAGACATTTCAATGTCAGGGCCAAGCGTTCCTTAAATAGCAACTTCTTTCTCTGTGTGACACTAAATAGCTCTATGGGGGTGGGGCCAATGACCTTGGCATTGTTAATGCTATGCCTTAGTAAACGGAGGTTTAGTCCACTATAGTCTCATTATTTCCTACAGCATCTCTTTAATTTGTATAACAATTAGCTTCTAGATTTTAGTAATCCTTCTTACTAGGAATTAGATTCTGAAAACTCACATGTCAAGAAAAGAAAGAGATATATTTTAATATTATATACAAATTAAATACTAAAGATATATATTTACTATTTTTTTTTCTGTTGCCCAGGCTGGAGTGCAGTGGTGCAATCTTGGCTCACTGCAACCTTTGCCTCCCAGTCTTAAGCAATCCTCCCACCTCAGCCTCCCGAGTAGCTGGGACTGCAGGTGTGTGCCACCAAGCCCAGTTAATCTTTGTATTTGTTGTAGAGACAGGGTTTCACCATGTTGGCCTTGAACTCTTGAGCTTGAGCCATCCACTTTCCTTGGCCTCCGAAAGTACTGGGATTACAGGTGTGTGCTGCGCATGAGGCGCCCAGCCCATACTCTATAGGAGTATGTGCATAAGAGTACATGCACTCCTATCGAAGCATATTTAGTCAGCAAAGCAGTAACATTTATAGAAATGTGATTCTGCAGTTAAGAAGAAGGGCATTCTTAACACAAGAAGGGCTTCAGATCAGTTCATTCTACAGACAACAAGAACCTGAGGCATCTGTGACAGATCATGCAGGATTTTTAACATCCTCTTTTGTCAAAATATCTCTTTATCACTCAATGATGTGATCACTAACAAGACCTGCTGTAGTGAATAATCATTCCTTTTGTTCCTGTAATCACCACTATTCATTGACACACTATTTAGCAATGACAGATTTTTCTTAACAGAAAAGCCTGAAGCTAAATTTATCCCCAATCTATTGCCCTAAGTGTGTTGAAAATCAAAAGCTGAAATAAGGTGGTATGAGTTAAGAGAAAAAATGGGTATCCTTATAATTCAGCATCTTGGAAAATAAATATCTTCAGACATCAACCAATATCCCTTAAAATGGCATTGACACAAAGCACCACTCAGTCTGCCAAATAAAAGCCACATTTCTTGAATCCAGTATATAATTCATGATGTCAAGAGATTAAGTGTAATTTTCATTCTTGGAAAATTAAGATTACTTAGTATCTTAATTGTATCTGCTTTAGTAAAGATTTTGAATTGTTGGATCTTTAACCTGACAGAGGCATTGCAATCCTAGTGTAATTACCAAATTGTATTGTGTAAATTCAAGTGCTGGGATGAGTCTGAAGAAAATTTTAATCTCCAGATTTTTATTAAAATTAGTATGTCCATGTTAATGTTTGAGAGAGTTTAAACATTTTCTAAAAGAGAATAGAAAAATTATTACAAGTTGAAGAATTTTTCTGAACCGAAATGAATGGACATGAAGTTAAGGAAACAGCATCGTCCAAATAGCTGGAAATAAACTGTGGAAGTTTAATAAAGGGATATGACAACTCAATAAATATCCAATTTCCTTTACACTTATGTTTATATTCTTCTAGTCTTTAAAGTGAAAAGTAAATATGTGAAGAGTTAGAAATGGCTAAATATATATTTTCCATATGTAAATACAACTGATTTTCATTTTAAAACAATCCTTTAATATATCCTCATATGATGAGTACATGTAAGAAGGAGTCCATGTTTTATCACTTTGGGGAATTTTCAACAAAGAGATACTACAATTTTGCCTCATCGCTGTCTTGTACTAATGCCTTCTCTGTGCCCTTGATCATCATCGTCCTTCTCCCACCTTCCACCATGACTGTCCTTCAGTCCCCTTTCTAAGCGTTCCTGGCATCAGGGTTGAAATATTCTGTAAGCCAGGTTGAAAATTTTCTCAGGACATCCACTTAACATTTTCATAGATGCAAGGTAGTGCCACCCTGAAGAGGGCTGAACATTAAGTAACTGCTCAAGAAATACTTGATTCCATTTACTGTTCCCTTACATAAGTATGGAAAGTCACTCCACACACTCACCAACCCTGTCTCCCAAATAAAAGCTAGATACCAGTGGGCAAGTGCCCATGTACTTTCTTAGATAATCCTGCAAACTTCAGCAAGTCAACATACATCCTCTGAGTGGGAGGAAACAAAAATTTTTCATATGAAGCCTCAATTCATAAACATTTGTAATCTGAAGTATAAATATATTTATTGTTCATTCCTTCATTCAACAACCACACATTGAGTGTTTCACGTACAATAACCAATGCTGGGATCATAACCATAAGTCGTGAATAAAACATGTTTTCTTTCCTTTAGGAGCCATCGGTCTAGGAAAATGTAAGACATTATCAAGGAAAGAAATCTCATGTGTCACAGCCATTCTGGGATTAAATGCACCAACTTATTTATAGCCTTACTATTAGGATTCTTTTGGGCTGTAGTTCCTTTATATGTGCTGATCCATGGGTCTTTGATTAATAAATGCACTGAAGCAAAGGGAGCCAGAGAGAATAACTTAAAGAGGAATTTCTAGGGAATATGCATTGTTGATAGACCCTTCTTTATCTGAGTCATTCACTTATTCAATAAATATTTTTTGAACACATTATGTGACAGACACTGTTGGATTGACATAATCATGAACTAGATGGACATGATTTCTGTCATGGGGAAGTCAAGCAAAATAATAAAAACAAAATTCCCAAACAAAAATCCAAAGAGTAAGCAAAATATCATACACAAACCCCCAAATTATGGGGAAGAAACCAAATAAGGGGCTTATGTAGTAGCTTGAAAGCAAAATGAGGGAAGGTATCTTTGTCTATTTTGTTCACTGGGTATATCTAAAGAAGCAAGAATGGCGTTTGATACATGGAAGCTACCCAATAAGGATTTATTGAATAAATCTGGCAAATAACAGGAAGAGGCTGTATTAGTAAGAAGGTCTAGATCAGTTTCCTATTACTTCTGTAACAAATTGCCAGAAACTTAGAGGCTTAATTAAAACAACACAAACTCATTATCTTAGAGTTCTATTGTCGGAATTATAAAATGGGTCTCACTGAGCTAGAATCAAGGTGCCAGCAGGGCTGCCTGCCTTCTCGAGGCCCTAGTGAAGAAGTAAACCACATTTACTTGCCTTTTCCTGCTTCCAAGCAACCACATTTCTTGACTACTGTCTTCAAGGATGTGGAGTCCTTATGCTGCCATCTCTCTGGTTCTCTCTTACATAGTGGTTTCTTCCTCTTCCTCTGTTAAGGACTCTTGTGATTGTATTGGGAACACCAGTGGAACACAGGATACTCTCCTTATTGAAAGTAAGCTGATGAGCAACCCGAATCTCTCTGCACTGTAATTCCCCTTTGCCACTTAACCAAGTACATTCTCAGGTTCTGGAGATGAGGATATAGATGCCTAGGGAAGGTTATTATTCTGCCCACCACAGTTTTCTCTCTGAATAGTGATGTTAAGAAGCTAAGATCTGGAAGGTGGAAGACGCCAGTCGTGTAAGGGGTGTGTGTGTGCACATGCATTGCCATGCATGAGTGTGCACATAAACTAGTAGTGAGGCAGTGGTCGGCACAATAGAGAGGGGAGACAGCCCTGTAATATAGGCCGTGGGAAGGAATCTAGATTCTATTATAGGTACACTTGGAAGCAACTGTTTGGGTTTTGTGTGTGTGTATGCTTTGTTGTTTTGTTTTGTTTTTTGTTTGGTTGTTTGTTTTTGAGACAGGGTCCCTGTCACCCAGGCTGAAGTGTAGTGGTGCAATCACAGGATCACAGCTCACTGCAACCTGGAACTCCTGGGCTGAAGCAATCCTCCGGCCTCAGCCTCCTGAGTGGCTGGGATTATAGGCGTGCACTACTACACCCTGCTAATTACTGCTTTTTTGTTTTTGTTTGTTTGGTAGAGATGAGATTTCACCATGTTGTCCAGGCTGGTTTTGAACTCCTGGGCTCAAGTGATCCACCTGCCTGGGCCTCCCACAGAGCTGGGATTGCAGGCTTCAGCCACCATGCCCGCTGGAAACTGGTTTTAAGAAAGAAAATGGTCTGATTTATATTTTAATGGGGTTATTCCCAGGAGAAGTTGGAGGAAAAGAGATGTATTACATCAAATTAAAAAACAAGCAGATTTTTCTTTAACTGCAGGAACATGTGATGATAGGGTTTATGAGGGAGGCGAGCTGGGAGCAAGTTATGGACATGGCAGGGCTGAAGAATTTGTTCGGGTCAGTCCGGGGATCATTCTCCCTGCTCAGTCATAGATCTAGTAAACAGAGTTGAAGGTTTGAAGCGGGGTGGGGAAAGGAAGGGCCCCATGCAAGGGGCAATTGTTTCCTCTGTAAACACATTCTTCACAGGTGAATCCTTTCCAGATTCCAGTCTGCAGGCAACTAAATATTGATAGCAGGACCTGGATCTGGGTCTGCTCTTGGCTTACAGATTCCAAAGCAGATAAATGAGGAATTGGGTCATGAGAGTGAAGATTCCAGGATCTGAGAAGCTGATAACGTTGTGGCCATTTAGAAGTAGCCAAATTTCTCAAGTATATAACTTTTTGGAGTATGTGCCTCAAAGGCGGTATGGATTGGGAGAATTGAAATGAGAAAATGAGCCGTGAAGTTTCTTTCTATTTTAACAACCTTTTTTTTTTTTCAGCACAGAAAGAGGGAACCACATTTTGCTTCATTTTATTATTATTCAGGAAACTTATAAGAAAGGTTGGCAGGGGGTGGCACTTGTCATCACTTACTCATCACAGGGAGAAATCTTGGAGAACTGGGAGTAGTATCTCTGGTGTGTCCTGAGGTGTCTAGAGCAGCCCAGGCCAGTCAGTGCCAGAGCTCTAGGTGGCATCTGTATTTGTTTCATACATTTGAACCATCATTATCTTCATCCTACATTGTTTATTAAAATGCCTGTAGGTAAAGCAGTTTATCAGTGAGGGAGTACATACGGTGCTCTGTGCTGTGTTGCGATATTAAGGGATTACTCATCAGACTGAGGATAAAGTGAAGCCACCAATATCTTCTGCTATTAAGATATCCAAACTTGTTCACCACTCCAAGTGTGAACTGGGACAGGTGACTTGGCAGAGTCTCAGCCACAAACAGTTGCTCATTTGGATAACGATTAAAATTTATAAACCATGTGCCATTTTTTGTTACACATTTTGATAAGTCATTTTTTGAATATCTTACAAGTACATCCATTAGTAACAGATCAAAACTCTAAAAAGAACTTACTATCTTAAAAGGAATATATTGTTTTGTATGTGTCAAAAGGAGGTTAAGAAAGTCTCCTGCACAGAGATATTAGGCATGGGATAAGTAAAAGCAAAATATAAATAACAAAAATAAACAAAATTCAGTGGACAGACATGTCAGATGTTTGGTGTTGAGAGGTCCAAATAGCACACCAGCGTAAGAACCTGTAATTCTACCCACACTCTGAAGCACTTTGTCTTTAAGTGCCACCACCAGTGGGACTCTGCTGTGTGTGACAGAGGAGTTAAGTGGTTCATTTTCCTCATGTATTCCTAGCTTCTCTCCAGTCATTCATCATTCTCAGAGGAAGACCAAATGCAGACATAGAAAAGCCAGGATTATTTTAGGAGAGGGAACAAATCATTGGCAACAGCAGGCAATGCACACAGCAGAGTTAGTAGGAATTTCTTTGGAAGGAACTGTTGAGAGCATGTATGTAGCACATGGTTAGGATCTGTAGATGGAGGGAAGAGAACTTTGGAGCAACTTGAACTTCTTTACACTGCCTAGGCCTATAGGGGATTAGAGAATGCAAGTAGAGATAGAAGGACCAAATGTACCTTGGAATGTTTGGCTCAACTGATGATGGGCTGGGATTGGCACCAGATGAACACATATTTTCTTTTCTTTTTTACTTTCCTTGATCCATTTCCCTTTCTTTCAATATTTTTCTGTAATTTTTATTTTAAAATAAGCAGTACATTCCAATCTCAGTAATGCTTAGAGGCAAAGATAGAGACAATTTATTGTGGTTAAAAATAATGAACTTAATTGGAATTTTCATACAGTGAAAGAAATAGAGAAATAATAGGTTAGTTGTGACTGCCAAGGAGGAAATTCTGCTTAGAAAAGTTTATGGGGTAATAAACACCTAAAAACAATAACGTCCTTAGAATTTTCTCTCTCTAATCTTGCATCAAGGCAACTGATAGAATCATTCTTTCATTTATTAAATCAACAGTATTTGAGTATCAGGCTCTGTGTTTGGTGCTATGTGTATAGTGAAAAAATGGGACATGAGCCCACCTCTCACAGATGTCACTTCTTAACCTCAGGGAGAAGACTTGGCTCTGAAGTTTCATCTTATGCAGAAGGGTTTCATTATGCCAACTTTGAGAACATATTGATTTTACTGACCCCAATAAGTAATCATTCATGGTCTCACAATTATTATTAGAACTGGAAATGCCCTTATCCAGTGCAACTCGGAAACAATGTTAAATGAACATCCATGATTGTAAACGTTGAATGCATGCAGGTCATGGCAAAAAAGTGTGTATGTAAATGTGCTATGAGAACAATTATGTATTGGTGTATTTTTTACTTAATAGATGTTTTTATTTTAAAACTATGGTTCAAAGCTCTTTAAGAATCTACCTTTTTTACAGAAAGAAAGAGATCTCTTTTTTCAGCATTTTATTGATAATTGAAACAATAACATCTTTAGACGTGTAAGAATGCATTAAAGAAACAAAATGATAAATAAGACTACTGGCAAGATTTAAAATAACAATAATATATATAATATAAGTATGTACCAACTGGAAAAATTATATTTATGGTATTACAAAAAAATTAAATTACATATTCATTAATGCATTCAATAACTCTGATAAAGTACTGGACTATATACTAGGTAGTGAGAGTCTACCAATGAAAAGACACAGTCCTTATCCTCAGGGAGCTCACACGCTAGTTGGAGTTAGATTTACCATGAAACAATTGCAGTATATAATACATGTCACAATAAAGATTTCATGGGATTTTCAAAGAAAGGGTCCGGACCCCCATTGAAGAGAAGGCTTTGCAGAAGAGGTGATGATAGATCTAAAACTTTAAGAATAAGCAAACATTTACCTACTAAATAATTAGGGGAAGAAGCCTCAGAGCAGAAGTCACAGATTTGGGAAAGAGTATGAAATATTGGGAAATCAAGAATAGTGTGCTAAATAGACAGAAAAGTACTCTTAGGGAGAGTGGTGGCCATAATTCTGGACAGTGGGATGGGGCTGAGAGGGAGGGGCTTTATGCAACATGGCAGAGTTTTGATTTAATACTGGAGAAAACGTTCAAGCAAGGTATTGAGGAAAACCAACTGTCAAGTCAAAATGATCTTTCTGGTGGCAGAAAGAATGAATTGGACAGTTTGGGAGAGTGTAAATTAGTTTCCTATTGCTGCTGTAACAAACTATCACAAACTATGTGGCTTAAAAAAAACACAAACGTATTTTCTTTCAGTTCTGCAGGTCAGAGCCCTAAAATCAAAGTGGGGTCAGGATTATGTTCTGTCTGGAAGCTCTAGGGCAGAATTGAAGCTGGCTCCTTCCAGCTTCTAGATGCCAGCATTCCTTGACTTGTGGCCCCTTCTGCTATCCTCAAAGCCAGCAGCGTAACATCTTCCAATCACTCCCGATGTCTCTGACCTTCATGCTTGCTTCTTATGAGGACCCACATGAATAATCCAGAATAAGGATTAAGAGTCTTAATCACATCTGCAAATTCCCTTTTTCCATTCACAGGTTCCAGAGATTAGGGCATGGACATCTTTAGGGGGACAATATTCTCTCCACCACAGAGTAAAAGGAGATAAATGGAATAGTGATATCATTTAGGATATCTCTAATCCAGGTTAGCAATGATAAGGACTTAGAGTCATGGCCAAGCAGTTTCACTCAGATATTTGTCTAAGAGAAGTAAAAACACATGTTCACAGAAATACATGTACAAAAACACTCATAGCAGCTTTACTTATCATAGCTCCAAACTAAAAATAATTTTAAGTGTCTGTCAGCAGGAGAATGGATAAACAACGGATGGTATTTACATACAATGGAAAACCATCCAGCAGTATAAAGGAACAAATTTCTAATATTCAGACCTCAAAAACATTATGCCAAATGAAACAAATCAAGATAAATAAATACTATGTAGTTTCATTTGTTTGAAGTTCTAGAATAGGTGAAACTAATCTATGGAGAGAAATATCTGAACAGTGGTTGTCTCAGTGTGAGGTCAAGGGTAAGATTACCCAGAAAGGGGCATGAGGGAACCTCATGGGATGATAGAAATGTTTCGATCTTGATTGGATTAGATATTACTCAGGGGGGCCGGGCATGGTGGCCACACCTGTAATCCTAGCATTTTCAGAGGCCAAGGTGGGTGGATCAGGATGTCAAGAGATTGAGACCATCCTGGCCAACATGGTGAAACCCCATCTCTACTGAAAATACAAAAATTAGCTGGGGGTGGTGGTGCGTGCCTGTAGTCCCAGCTATTAGGGAGGCTGAAGTAGGAGAATCACTTGAACCCGGGAGGCAGAGATTGCAGTGAGCGGAGATAGCGCCACTGCACTCCAGCCTAGGCGACAGAGCGAGACTCCGTCTCAAAAAAAAAAAAAAAAAGAGAGATTATTCAGGCATCCGCATATATCACATTCACCAAACTATACACTCAGGACCTGAGAATTTTATTATTTATGATTTATACATCAATTAAATGTAAAAATGTATTTTAAAAATAAGATCACAGCAATAAGGACAAAAAGGAGAAGAAGGATCAAGAGATATTTTGAATCTAAAATTGTCAATAATTTTTGGGCCATTGAATGCTAGTGGAAGAATACAGGAGAAAAAGAGAAAGGGACAGGAAAATAAATTCCCAAACAGCATTAAGAAAACAGCATTAAAATCAACCACTATTGTTTTTACCAACACTTTGAAAATAAGACACAGTACTGACTAATGACATACAAAATAGTAAAAATAAAAGGCATTTAAGAATTCATTTCTTATTTTTCTCTCTGTGCTTTAATTCACAGGATTCAATGTTAGTTATTAACCTCAGATGGGAGCAGTGGCTGAGTTTAGATCTGTGGTGTAGAAAGTAGGGCTGATAAGATTCAAGTTTATTGTTAAATGGAAAAAATATACATAATTAACACTAACTCTGCTGTTTTCCAGAACCAGTCTAGGAGGCAAATAAATTAAACAATTAGTGTGTTTATTTGGAACATGAACTGAAGCTATTTCATGAACTTCCCAGGGCTTTTGCCTGCTGTGAACACCATCATGGGCATGAAAGCATTCAAAACCATTTGAAGAATATTAAATTCAGTAAAACAGCAAATTACTTGGAAAATATGTAATACCCAGTACCTTCACTTTGAAAATAAATTGCTTTAGAGGATCTGAATAATTATTTTTGCAGTATATATACATATATATATATAGAGAGAGAGAGACAGAGAGAGAGAGAGAGAGACGTTGCCTCACTCTGTCACCCAGTCTGGAGTGCAGTGGCACGATCTTGGCTCACTGCAAGCTCCGCCTCCCAGGTTCAAGCAATTCTCCTGCCTCAGCCTCCCGAGTAGCTGGGACTACAGGTGCCCACCACCACGCTCGGCTAATTTTTTGTATTTTTTTAATTTTATTATTATTATACTTTAAGTTTTTAGTAAAGACGGGGTTTCACCATGTTGCCCAGGCTGGTCGAAAACTCCTGAGCTCAGGCAATGCGCCCGCCTTGGCCTCCCAAAGTGCGGGGATTACAGGCGTAAGCCACCGCGCCTGCCCTGGAGTGTATTTCATATGAACAGACACCATCTGAATTTCTGTTATAATCCCATTGGTTGTCTAACTCCAACACTCATTCCTCTGCCCTCTCCTCTCCTCCCTGTAAGCTCTTTTTCTCTCTGTCTCTCTTTGT